>NT_187622.1:0-61734 GCF_000001405.40 Homo sapiens
ACCCCCTCCGGCCTCCCCGCCCCCTCCAGGCCCCCAGCCCCCGACCCCCAGCCCCTCTGACCACACCTTGGTCAGAAGGGCTCCCCTCCTAGCACCTGCCCACAGTTCCCACGGCCTGGACCCCCCTCGGTTCCTCTGGAGCTCCTACTCGACCCGCACAGCCCAAGTCCTCTGCCCCACCCCCCATCCGCCGGACACCCCGGTCCTGCCCCGCCCCGAGGCCACTGCCGGGGCAGCTGCGCCGGCTCCGGTCCCCCAGCGCGGGGGTCTCTGCGGGCGGGCGGAACCGAGGCGTCTCCCCCGGGCCCCAGCGCGACCCCCACCCACCTCCACGAAGTAGAAGCAGGGCAGAAGCGTCATGCTGTCCTTCGGGATCTTGTTCTTCTCCTTGGTGGAGATCATGGTGCCGCGGGCGCCGCAGGCCGTGGCTGGAGGGGAGAAAGCGGCGCTGGAGGGGGGCGCGCAGGCGGAGCCCGGGGGAGACACGGTGGCCGGCGCCGGCGGGGGAGGGGCGGTCGGGGAAACTGAGGCTGCAGAGAGCGGCGTCCGCGTGGCCTCCCCGCGCCCCGGCCCAGCACGCGGCTTCCGGGCGCCCCTACACCCGGGATCGGGGGGTCGGGGCCGGGATCGCCGAGGAGGGCGGGGGGTCTCCGGGCGGGAGCCAGTCCCCGCGTGGTGGTGGGGGGCATCCGGGAGAACTGGGGTTCCGGGCGGCGGAGGAGACTGGGTCCGCGCCCCCAGCCCCACAGCCCCTCACCTGGCGCGGCCGGCGCCCAGCACAAAGCGCGTCTCCTCCGTGGGGCGGGGCCGGGAGCCGGGAAGGGGAGGGGGACGGGGGAGGGGAGGGTCCGGCCCGGAGACCCCCGCGCGCGCCCAGACGCCGCAGCCCAGACGCCGCAGCCAGGGGCGGGGGCTCTTTGTCTGGGCGCGTCCTCCGCAGGCCCCGCGCACCGTCCCCGCCTCCCTGGCGCCGCCTCCCACCGCCGGGGGTCTCGGGGGTCTCAGGTCTGCGCGAGCGGCTGGCGGGGCTCGGGGGTCGCGTCCTCCTCCCTTCGGGCCTGCGGCGGTGACGGTCCCGTCCTCCCCTCCCGGGTGGCTGCGGTCGGCCCGGGGGGCGCCATCGAGACGGGGGCGGAGGCGGGGGCGGGGGTTGGGGTTTCGGGGTCTCTGACTGTCTCCGTGTCTCTCACGGTCTCTCGCCGGCTCCGACTGCCCCCGCCCCGCGCCTCCGCCCGCCCCTCCGCGGAGCCCGCCGCTCGCTGGTGCGCGTTTCCATGGCGAGGCTCCCAGGGCGCCCGGAGCATCGGAGACAAAAGAGCTGGGGGAGGGGGACTGGGGGGTCTCCCGGTGCCTCCCTCCCTTCCCCCCGCACTCACCCTCGCCCCCTCCGCCGCGCCGGGGTCCACCCTCCGCCTGGCCGCAGCCGCTCGGTGCGCACGGCGGGATTGCGGGGCGCGGGGCTGGGGGCTGGGGGCTGCGGGATGCGGGCAGGGCCCTCGGGACCCGCACTCGGGCAGTGCCTGCTGTCTGCGTGCATTTCCTCCTCCATATGCGCAGCCCTGCGGGGTAGGGGCTGGTTGACCCCCGTTGTAGGGATGGGGAAACTGAGGCTTGGGCACCCTGGGTCGCAATCCGAGGTCTCCGGGCCCCAAACGGCAGGATTTACAAAAATCGGTTTTTGGGCCGTGCGCGGTGGCTCAGGCCTGTAATCCCAGCACTTTGGGAGGTCGAGGCGGGCGGATCACGAGGGCAGGAGTTCGAGACCAGCCTGGACAACATGGTGAAACCCCGTCTCTACTAAAAATACAAAAATTTTTAGGGTGTGGTGGCTCATGCCTGTAATCCCAGCTACTCGGGAGGCTGAGGCAGGAGAATCGCTTGAACCTGGGAAGCGGAGGTTGCAGTGAGCCGAGATCGTGCCACTGCACTCCAGCCTGGGCAACAAGAGCGAGACTCTGTCTCAAAACAAACAAACAAACAAACAAACAAAGAGTGACTTCCAGGCTGGGTGCAGTGGCTCAGGCCTATAATCCCAGCACTTTGGGAGGCAGAGGCGGGAGGATCCCTTGAGGCCAGGAGTTCCAGACCAGCCTGGCCAACATGGTGAAACCCCATCTCTACTAAAAATATAAAAATTAGCCGGACATGGTGGCAGGCGCCTGTAATCCCAGCCAGATGGGAGGCTGAGGCAGGAGAATTGCTTGAACCTGGGAGGCGGAGGTTGCAGTGAGCCGAGATGGCACCATTGCCCTCCAGCCTGGGCGACAGAAGGAGACTCTATCTCAAAAAAAAAAAAAAAAACAAACAAACAGTGACTCCAGAGGGTTGGAGCCCTGCTAGATACCTTAGTTTGCTCATAACAGGCACTGCTGCCCCCGGGAAGAGGGTCGCCTGCCATAAATGCGGAAACAGTTAAATGGCGATGGGAATAGGATGGGAACTCAATGGTGTTGCTACCTTTGGATGGACTCGGAGGCAGCCCAGCTTCCTGGGACAGGACTGCACGGACTGCCTGGGGAGGGGTCTTTGGCCCCCCGGTTCCTGCAGGGGGGCTCGGGGAGGCCCTGTGAGCAGTTGGTCACAGGTGGGTCCCATTCGATGCGATCCTGTTCCTCCCCAACAGCCCTGGAGAAGGGGGACGTTGCCTGCTGTGGCTGCGGCTGTTTTCCTGGCCTGTGAGAGGCGGGGCCAGAGTGGCCGTTGGGAATCTGGGTGTTGCAAGGTGACCACAAACAGCTCTCTGGGGGAGGAGGAGGAAAATGCAATTGATTTTCAGGAGCCTTCTGAGGTCAGGAGTGGGAGAGTGTGCAGGGGGACCCTCCTGGCAGCTTGGGGGTCCAACAGAAGATCTGGGGGAGTCTCAGGGTCTTCTCCCCCTAGGATCACCAGTGGTGGAGATGGGGCAGGCCTGGCCATGGAGGGCACGTTGCTTGGCTGAGGGGCCTGGGCTTGAGTGTGGGGCCTGGGCTTGAGTGATGGGAGAGTTCCGAGCAGGCCGGAGGGGTTGAGCGTACCAGACGCTGCTCAAAACTTTTATTTAAAAATGATTATTATTATTATTACTATTATTTTGAGATGGACTCTTGCTCTGTCGCCCAGGCTGGAGTGCAATCGTGCGATTTCAGCTCACTGCAACCTCCCACCTCCTGGGTTCAAGTGATTCTCCCTCCTCAGCCTCCCGAGTAGTTGGGATTATAGGCGCCTGCCACCACGACGGGCTAATTTTTGTATTTTTAGTAGAAAGAGGATCTCCCCATGTTGGTCAGGCTGGTGTTGATCTCCTGACCTCAGCTGATCTGCTGCCTCAGCCTCCCAAAGTACTGGGATGACAGGGGAGCCACGGAGCCCAGCCTTTTTTTTTTTTTTTGGGAGACGGAGTTGCACTCTGTCGTCTAGGCTGGAGTGCAGTGGCGCGATCTCGGCTCACTGCAAGCTCCACCTCCCGGGTTCACGCCATTCTCCTGCCTCAGCCTCCCGAGTAGCTGGGACCGCAGGCGCCCAGGACTATGCCCGGGTAATTCTTTTGTATTTTTAGTAGAGACGGTGTTTCACCGTGTTAGCCAGGATGGTCTTGATCTCCTGACCTCGTGATCCGCCCGTCTTGGCCTCCCAAAGTGCTGGGATTACAGGCGTGAGCCACCGCGCCCAGCTTTTTTTTTTTTTTTTTAATAGAGAGAGGGTCTCACCATGTTGCCAAGGCTGGTCTCAAACTCCTGGGCTCAAGTGATCCTCCCACCTCGGCCTCCCAAGGCACTGGGATTACAGGCGTGAGCCACCACGCCCGGCCTCAAAAACTTTTCAGAATATGAACCCCACTCCATGCTCAGCACTGTTCTGTCTAGAAGGCAGAGTCTATCCCTGTCTCAGGGCACACTGACGTGCAGACAGCGAGCTCGCCCTGAGGTCATGCGACTGGGAGGGACAGAGCTTCCGGCTCCCGGCAGAGGGGAAATGGGGCCTGGCCCACGGGAGAGCTGAGGCCCACGTTTGGCCAGGACAGGGTGGATGGAGGCTGGGGCCTCCGCAGGGAAGATGGACAGGTAGGATCCGGGGTGGGCAGAGAGGGAGAGCTGGCTTGGACGGAGGCAGGGATCTGGGGGCTGTGCCATGGACCCTGTGAGGTGGCTGGGCTGTGAAACTCAGTGGAGACCGGAATTATTATTATTATTATTATTTTTTTGAGATGGAGTCTCACTGTCTCCCGGGCTGGAGTGCAGTGGCACGATCTCGGCTCACTGCAAGCTCCGCCTCCTGGGTTCACGCCATTCTCCTGCCTCAGCCTCCTGAGTAGCTGGGACTACAGGCGCCCACCACCACGCCCGGCTAATTTTTTGTATCTTTAGTAGAGATGGGGTTTCACCGTGTTAGCCAGGAAGGTCTTGATCTCCTGACCTCATGATCCGCCCGCCTCGGCCTCCCAAAGTGCTGAGATTACAGGTGTGAGCCACCGCTCCCGGCCTGGAGACCAGATTTGAGCCCTGGGACCCTACATTCCCGATGGGCAGCGGACCTCAAGGCACACCGGCCCCGCCTCCCTGGACTCTCCCCGTATCCGCCCCTTGGAGGGGCAAACTGCCCTCAGAGGGCTCCCACAGGCCCAGACACAAACTGGTGTCCCCAAGGGTGTGGGGGACACGGTAAGCTCCAGACCTCAGTTTCACCTTGGAAATGAGCCCCTTTGTAAAAAATGGAGGTGAGTTTGGACGCAGTAGCTCACACCTGTGCTCCCAGCACTTTGGGAGGCCGAGGCAGGTGGATTGCTTGAGCTTAGGAGTTTCAAACCAGCCCGAGCAACATAGTGAGACTCCACCTCTACAAAAAAATACAAAAATTAGCCGGGCATGGTGGCATGTGCCTATGGTCCCAGCTACCTGGGAGGCTGAGGCAGGAGGATTGCTGGAACCCGGGAATCGGAGGCTGCAGCGAGCTGAGATCGTGCCACTGCACTCCACCCTGGGCAACATAGTGAGATCCCATCTCTACAAAATATACAAAAATTAGCCGGGCACGGTGGCGGGTGCCTGTGGTCCCAGCTACTCGGGAGGCTGAGGCAGGAGGATCAGTTGAACCCAGGAGATTGAGGCTGCAGTGAGCTGAGATGGTGCCGCTGCCCTCCAGCCTGGGCAACAGCGAGACCTCAACTCTGAAAAAAACAAAAGAAGGAGATGAAATTTACATAACTTAAAATTAGCCATTTTGAACGGTACAGTGAAGTGGTTTTCGGTGCATTCACCGACTTGTGCAACCATCACTGCTGTCCAGTCCCAGAACATTCCATCACCCCAAAGAAGGAAGCCCCATCTCCATCCATCAGCCATCACCCCCTGCCCTCCCCCGGCCCCTGGCAACCACAGATCCACTTCCTGCCTCTGCAGATTTGCTTGTTCTGGACATTTCGTCTATTTATTTTTATATAGTTTTTAATTTGTTTTTATTTATTTTTTTTGAGACGGAGTCTCTCTGTGTCACCCAGGCTGGAGTGCAGTGGCGCAATCTCGGCTCACTGCAACCTCCACCTCCCAGGTTCAAGCGATTATCCTGTCTCAGCTTCCCAAGTAGCTGGGACTATAGGCGCCCGCCACCACGCCCAGCTAATTTCTTTTTTTTTTTTGAAATGGAGTTTTGCTCTTGTCGCCCAGGCTGGAGTGCAATGGTGCGATCTCGGCTCGCTGCAACCTCCGCCTCCCAGGTTCAAGTGATTCTCCTGCCTCAGCCTCCTGAGTAGCTGGGATTACAGGCATGTGCCACCACGCCCAGTTAATTTTGTATTTTTAGTAGAGATGGGGTTTCTCCATGTTGGTCAGGCTGGTCTTGAACGCCCAACCTCAGGTGATCTGCCTGCCTCGGCCTCCCAGAGTGCTAGGATTACAGGTGTGAGCCACCGCACCCAGCTTGTCAATTATATCTCAATAAAGCTGTTGAAAAAGTTTAAAAAAATCACCCAATCGGGCACAGTGTTTCACACCTGTAATCCCAGCATTTTGGGAGGCCGAGGTGGGTGGATCACCTGAGGTCGGGAGTTTGAGACCAGCCTGGCCAATATAGTGAAACCCCATCTCTACTAAAAATACAAAAAATTAGCCAGGCGTGGTGGTGGACAACTGTAATCCTAGCTACTCAGGAGGCTGAGACAGGAGAATCACTTGAGCCTGGGAGGCGGAGGTTGCAGTGAGTCGAGATCACACCATTGCACTCCAGCCTGGGCAACAAGAGCGAAACTCCGTCTCAAAATAATAATAATAATAATAATAATAATAATCACCCATACAGACGCGCAGGACTCAACGCAGGACTGCCAGCTCCACTGCCCTGAGCCCCCCGGTGCCAGGCCCAGCGGGCAGTGCTGGAGCCCCAGTGGCTTGGGATGGGGAGACTGGGACTCTGAGCTGGCAATGTTCCTGGGTGCTGGCTGCATGCCCGCCATGTGCTGGGCTCCGGGATCCACTGGTTCCTGACACCCTCACCTGCCCCTGGGGGTGTGGCCATCTTCTAGAGAGGGAAACTGAGGATCAGTGCAGAATGTAGGGGGAGCCCAGGCTGGCCCAGGGAGCAGTTGGCGGTGGAGGCCTTGGGCAATTTCCCGTGTTCCCACTGAGTGGGGCTGTCCCTGGGCCTGGGCGGGGACGCCACCAACTGCCAAGGCCTGTGTATAAGGGCAGCCGCCGCCTTAGCCACAGACCTGCCCCGCCATGACCCGGCTGACAGTCCTGGCCCTGCTGGCTGGTCTGCTGGCGTCCTCGAGGGCCGGTGAGTGCCTCTCTGTGCCGGTGGTCCCCCATCTGTGCTAGGGCCCGGCTGCCAGGGCAGAACTCAGACTTAAAGCACAGAGAAGGCAAGCGGCTTGGCCTGGGTCACACAGCCAGCCCGGCCTGGACGATCCCGCGAAAGGCGTGAGGGCGGACGGTGTGCGGGACTCAGGGGCCCCCTGTCCTCTTAGGGAGTGGGACGATGGGGGAGGGTGGGTCCCCCCGCAGCCCCACTGGGTGGATAGAGCTGAGGCTGCAGCTTCACACGCCCTCCCGGCCACTGTGTGGATTCTTGGGGATCTCAGAGCTGTCTCCCCCCGACCCAGGCTCCAGCCCCCTTTTGGACATCGTTGGCGGCCGGAAGGCGAGGCCCCGCCAGTTCCCGTTCCTGGCCTCCATTCAGAATCAAGGCAGGCACTTCTGCGGGGGTGCCCTGATCCATGCCCGCTTCGTGATGACCGCGGCCAGCTGCTTCCAAAGCCAGTGAGGGGTCCTGGGGAGGGGGCCTAGGGGGCATTGGGGCTCAGAGAAGGGGCTTGGGGGGCTTAGGCATTCAGTGGGGGTGCTTGGTAGGTGAGGAGGGGAGGGGATTGCAAAAGGAGGGGCTCAGGGAAAGGAGGGGGCTTGGAGAGGGAAATGGGGACTGAGTTGAGGAGGGACCCAAGGATATTGGGGGGCTCAGATGGAGGAGGCCCAGAGAAGGGAAGGGGGTCAGATGGAGGAGGCCCAGAGAAAGGAAGAGGCTCAGATGGAGGAGGTGCAGTGAAGGAAAGGGGGTCAGATGGGGGAGGCCCAGAGAAGGGAAGGGGCTCAGATGGAGGAGGGGGCCCAGAGAAAGGAAGGGGCTCAGATGGAGGAGGTGCAGAGAAGGGAAGGGGGTCAGATGGGGGAGGCCCAGAGAAGGGAAGGGGCTCAGATGGAGGAGGTGCAGAGAAGGGAAGGGGCTCAGATGGAGGAGGTGCAGAGAAGAGAAGGGCCTCAGATGGAGGAGGTGCAGAGAAGGGAAGGGCCTCAGATGGAGGAGGTGCGGAGAAGGGAAGGGGGTCAGATGGAGGAGGTGCAGAGAAGGGAAGGGGGTCAGATGGGGGAGGCCCAGGGAAGGGAAGGGGCTCAGATGGAGGAGGGGCAGAGAAGGGAAGGGGGTCAGATGGGGGAGGCCCAGGGAAGGGAAGGGGCTCAGATGGGGGAGGCGCAGAGAAGGGAAGGGGGTCAGATGGAGGAGGTGCAGAGAAGGGAAGGGGGTCAGATGGGGGAGGCCCAGATAAGGGAATGGGGTCAGATGGGGGAGGTGCAGAGAAGGGAAGGGGGTCAGATGGGGGAGGCCCAGATAAGGGAAGGGGCTCAGATGGAGGAGGTGCAGAGAAGGGGAGGGGGTCAGATGGAGGAGGCTCAGAGAAGGGAAGGGACTCAGATGGAGGAGGGGGCGCAGAGAAGAGAAGGGGCTCAGATGGAGGAGGAGGCGCAGAGAAGGGAAGGGGCTCAAGATGGGAAGGGGGCCCTGGAAAGTCTCGGCTCTGCTTCTGTAAAAGCGGGGGAGTTTTCAGGGTGAAGGATTGCAGTCTGCAGGCTGGGATCCCCCCTAATTTGCAAGCCGGCTTGCTCTGTGCCCAGGCCCCAGCCTGGTGTCCTCCCTCTGCCCTTTCCTCCGCTACTCTCAGGAACCCCGGGGTTAGCACCGTGGTGCTGGGTGCCTATGACCTGAGGCGGCGGGAGAGGCAGTCCCGCCAGACGTTTTCCATCAGCAGCATGAGCGAGAATGGCTACGACCCCCAGCAGAACCTGAACGACCTGATGCTGCTTCAGGTGAGAGGATGGTGCCACCTGTGATCCCAGCACCTCGGGAGGCCGACGTTAGCCAGGGAAACAAGTCCAAACTTGGTCTCTACAAAAAAATACAAAAATTAGCCGGGAGTGGTGGCGCGCACCTGTGGCCCCTGTGCTTCAGGAGGCCGAGGCGGAAGGACGGCTTGAGGTCAGGAGTTCGAGACCAGCCTGGGCAACATGGCCAAACTCAGTCTCTACAAAAATATATATGTGTGTGTGTGTGTGTGTGTGTGTGTGTGTGTGTGTGTATCTTGCCGGGTGAGGTGGCTCATGCCTGTAATCCCAGCATTTTGGGAGGCCGAGGTGGGCGGATCACGAGGTCAGGAGATTGAGACCAGCCTGGCCAACATGGTGAAACCCCATCTCTACTAAAAATACAAAAATTAGCCAGGCATGGCAGCGGGCGCCTCTAGTCCCAGCTACTCAGGAGGCTGAGGCAGGAGAATCGCTTGAACCCGGGAGGCGGAGCTTGCAGTGAGCCGAGATCGCGCCCCTGCACTCCAGCCTGGGTAACAGAGCCAGACCCTATCTCAAAAAAAACTTCCAAAAACAATACAGCAACACATACAGATGTACCACGGTTCGCGTATGGAGCCTCCTGTTGGTGGAGACTGACGTCGTTTTCAAATGCTTTTGCTATGACAGAATCATGTGAATGTTTTTCATGTTTGGTTTTTTTCTTTGAGAAAATGATAAAATTATCTCAAAAATATCATTAAAAAATTTAAAAAAGTAGAGACGGGGGTTTCACCTTGTTGGCCAGTTTGGTCTCGAACTCCTGGCCTCAAGTGATCCACCCACCTTGGCCTCGCAACGTGCTGGGAATACAGGCGTGAGCCACCGCACCCGGCCCCTGCCGGGAATTAAACGCAAACCACTTACAGACTACAGTTAATGTCGCTGACACTTCTGCTCCCAGGGGTCCCCATGAGGCTCCAGTCCCCAGGGCCACCCTCCCCTGACTCCATTTCCTTCCCCAGCTGGACCGTGAGGCCAACCTCACCAGCAGCGTGACGATACTGCCACTGCCTCTGCAGAACGCCACGGTGGAAGCCGGCACCAGATGCCAGGTGGCCGGCTGGGGGAGCCAGCGCAGTGGGGGGCGTCTCTCCCGTTTTCCCAGGTTTGTCAACGTGACTGTGACCCCCGAGGACCAGTGTCGCCCCAACAACGTGTGCACCGGTGTGCTCACCCGCCGCGGTGGCATCTGCAATGTGAGTGCTCCCTGTGGCGGGAGGAGGGGTCCTGAGAGGTACTGAGCTCTCCGTGGCAGGAGAAAGCAAGTGCAGGCTGAGGGCGGCACAGCAGGGGGGCCCCAGGATTGAGCATTTTCACGGTAGGAGAAACAGTATCTTTTTTTTTTTTTTTGAGACAGAGTCTCGCTCTGTCGCCCAGGCTGGAGTGTAGTGGCGTGATCTCGGCGGCTCACTGCAACCTCCGCCTCCTGGGTTCAAGCGATTCTCCTGCCTCAGCCTCCTAAGTAGCTGGGATTACAGGCATGCGCCACCACGCCCGGCTAATTTTGTATTTTTAGTAGAGACAGGGTTTCTCCATGTGGGTCAGGCTGGTCTCGAACTCCTGACCTCATGATCGACCCACCTTGGCCTCCCAAAGTGTTAGGATAACAGGCATGAGCCACCGTGCCTGGCTGAGAAACAGTAGCTATCAAACGCCGGCTGTGAGCCACGTCTGTGCTGGGGGTTGGGGACCCAGCAGGCATGGTAGAGCCGGTCACTGAGGGACTCAGGCGTGTGATTGCCAGGGGAGGGGCACCTGGCCCAGCCTGGAGGTGCCAGGAAGCTCCAGAAAGCAACTGATCCCAAAGTCCACTAGCAGTTAACCAGGGCAGAGAAAGAGAAGAGCCATGCAAAGGCCCTGGGGCTGGATCAGGACTTGTAGGTTCCAGGGGCAGCAAGAGGCCTCTGCAGTTCTGGGGTGGCGTGGGAGCCAGGCCCTGGGACGCCCTGACACAGCTGCTGCCTGCCCAGGGGGACGGGGGCACCCCCCTCGTCTGCGAGGGCCTGGCCCACGGCGTGGCCTCCTTTTCCCTGGGGCCCTGTGGCCGAGGCCCTGACTTCTTCACCCGAGTGGCGCTCTTCCGAGACTGGATCGATGGTGTTCTCAACAACCCGGGACCGGGGCCAGCCTAGGGGGGCCTGTGACCTCCCATGGAGCCCAGCCCCGCCCTCCACACCTCCGGCGCTCCGCACCCACCTCCCACGGCCCCGCCCCTGCCCCCGCTCCGGCCAGAGGGGCCCTGGCTGTAATAAAGAAGCCGATCTCTCCTCTGCTCCTGGTTTCTGTTCATTGGTGGGGGAGGGGGCTGTGGGGACGCGTGAGTGGCACCTTCACCGGCCTTAGGGGCACCCACCGCAGGTGCACTGCCTGTGCAGATGTCAGATGTTCAGAGATTCCCTCAAAGCCCGGGAAGCAGGGGCTGGTGTTATCTGCACCCGACAGCGGGGTGTTGGGGGGAGGCCCAGGTTCAGAGAGGTTGGGTGGCTGCCCAGAGGTCACACAGTGAATGCCGCCCAGCACTTTGGGAGGCCGAGGTGGGCGGATCACCTGAGGTCAGGAGTTCAAGACCAGCCCGGCCAACCTGGTGAAACCCCATCTCTATAAAAATACAAAAATTAGCCGGGCATGATGGCGGGCGCCTGTAATCCCAGTTACTTGGGAGGCTGAGGCAGGAGAATCACCTGAACCCGGGAGGCGGAGGTTGCAGCGAACCGAGATGGCGCCACTGCACTCCAGCCTGGGCGACAGCGAGACTCCAGCTCAAAAAAAAACAAAAACCACGGGAGAAAACGGGGAACATTCTCCTCTTGGATCCAATAGAAACAGTAAAACGTGAATATGAAATAATAAATATAATTGTATATATAAATAATACAGAATAAAATATGAATATGATGGCTGGATGTGGCAGTCACATCTGTAATCTCAGCACTTTGGGAGGCCAAGGTGGGAGCATCGTTTGAGCCCAGGAGTTTGAGACCAGCCTGGGCAACGTAGTGAAACCATGTCTCTACAAAAATAATTTTTAAAATTATTAAAATTACACAGGAGAGGCCGGGCACAGTGGCTCATGCCTGTAATCCCAGCACTTTAGGAGGCCAAGGCGGGCGGATCACGAGGTCAGGAGATCGAGACCATCCTGGCTAACACGGTGAAACCCCGTTTCTACTAAAAATACAAAAAATTAGCCAGGCGTGGTGGCGGGCGCCTGTAGTCCCAGCTACTCGGGAGGCTGAGGCAGGAGAATTGCTTGAACCCGGGAGGTGGAGATTGCAGTGAGCCGAGATCACGCCACTGCACTCCAGCCTGGTGACAGAGCAAGACTCCGTCTCAAAAAAAAAAAAAAAAAGCCGGGTAAGTGGCACCTGTCGTCCCAGCTACTCTGGAGGCTGAGGTGGGAAGATTGCTTGAGTCCAGGAGGTGGAGGTTGCAGTGAGCCGTGATCGCACCACTGCACTCCAGCGTGGTCCACAGAGCAAGACCCAGTCTCTTAAAATGATAATAATAATAATAATAATAATAATAATAATAATAAGAAGAAGAAGAAGAAGAAGAAGAAGAAGAAGAAGAAGAAGGAAGAAGAAGAAGAAGAAGAACCTGTAGTCTCAGCTATTGAGGAGGCTAAAGTGGGAAGATCACTTTAGCCCAAGAGGTTGAGGATGCAGTGAGCTATTTTTATCTCATTTATTTATTTATTTGAGACAGAGTCTCCCTCTGTCACCCAGGCTGGAGTGCAGTGGCGCGATCTCGGCTCACTGCAACCTCTGCGCCCCCAGTTCAAGCAATTCTCCTGCCTCAGCCTCCTGAGTAGCTGGGACTACAGGTGTGAGCCACAATGCCTAGCCAATTTATATATATATATTTTTTAGTAGAGATGGGGTTTCATTATGTCGACCAGGCTGGTCTTGAACTCTTGAATTCAGGTGATCTACCCATCTCAGCCTCCCAAAGTGCTGGGATTACAGGCGTGAGCCACCGCGCCTGACCTTATTTCATTTATTTTTGAGACACGGTCTTTCTCTGATGCCCAGGCTGGAGTGCAGTGGCGTGATCAAGGCTCACTGTAGCCTCAGCCTCCCAGGCTTCAGCAACCGTGCCCGGCCTTAGAATTCACTCTTTTAAAGTGTGTACAGCCGGGCGTGGTGGCCCACACCTATAATCCCAGCACTTTGGGAGGCCGAGGCTGGCAAATCACCTGAGGTCAGGAGTTTGAGACCAGCCTGCCCAACATGGTGAAACCCTGTCTGTACTAAAAATACAAAAAATTAGCCTGGCATGGTGGCATGCACCTGTAATCTCAGCTAGTCGGGAGGCTGAGGCAGGAGAGTGGCATGAACCCGGGAGGCGGAGCTTGCAGTGAGCCAAGATTGAGCCACCGCACTGCAGGCTAGGGGATAGAGTGAGACTCTGTCTCAATAAAATAAAAAATAAAATAAAATAAAATGAAGTGTGCAATTCAATGGTCTTCGGTACACTCACAATGTTGTGTGGTCATGACCTCTGTTGAGTTCCAGAATATTTCATCACCGCCAAAGGAATCCCTGTCCCCATCAGCCGTCACTCCCTGTCCCCTCCCCAGTCCGCGGCACCCACGCGTCCTCTTCCTGTCTCTGTGGATGGGCTTGTCCTGGACATTTCATAGCAATGGGATCACACACTATGTGGTCTTTCGTGTCCGGCGTCTCTCACGGAGCGTGACGTCCTCACGGTGCCTCCGCGCCGTGGTCGGGTCACAGCTGGGTCCGTTTCACGGCTGCGTCCTGTTGCCACGCCTGGAGGCCTCACTGTGCTGCTCGAGGCCCCTGTGGATGGACGTCTGAGCCTCTCCACTTCCGGCCACTGTGACCCTCACTGCTGTGGACACTCATGTGCAGGTTTGTGTTGGAACTGCTGCTTTTCTTTCTTTTGTGGGTATAACGGGTCCTTTTTTTTTTTTTTTTTTGAGACGGAGTCTCGCTCTGTCGCCCAGGCTGGAGTCCAGTGGCGCGATCTCGGCTCACTGCAACCTCCACCTCCCGGGTTCACGCCATTCTCCTGCCTCAGCCTCCCGAGTAGCTGGGACTACAGGCACCCGCCACCGTGCCCGGCTAATTTTTTGTATTTTTAGTAGAGACGGGGTTTCACCGTGTTAGCCAGGATGGTCTCGATCTCCTGACCTCGTGATCCGCCCGCCTCAGCCTCCCAAAGTGCTGGGATGACAGGCGTGAGCCACCGCGCCCGGCCAACGGGTTCTCTTTACAGAGGGGGAAACTAAGCCTAGAGAGGGGTGCCAATGGCTCAGGAGCCCAGCCGGTGGGGGCCCTGCCTGGGTTTGGAGAGGCAAAGCCACTGCCTGATCATTGTTCAGATGGGGAAACTGAGGCCCAAGGCAGGATTGGGGTTCAAGGGCTTCTGGTGCCCCCGGCTCGGGGCCACGTTCGGTCATGAGGGTCCCCCTGCTGGGGCGGGATTCCTGCCAGAGGCGGTTTCTGCCCTCCTCCCCCCAGCCCCTGCTGCTCCCCCTTCCTGGGCCCAAGGGTGCTGTTCTCGGGTTCCCCTGGTAGCGGTCAGCCCGGCTGCAGGGCCCTCAGAGCGGGGCTGCGTGTGACTGTGGGCAGCCCGAGTCCTCTCCGCGCCTCGGATTTCAGGGACATAGAACGGGGTCCCATCCGTGGACCCACCCGCCACCCCGCAGCCCCGTCCAGGCCCCGACGCGTGCAGCCCCCACCCCGCAGCCCCGTCCAGGCCCCGACGCGTGCGTGCAGCCCCCACCCCGCAGCCCCGTCCAGGCCCCGACGCGTGCAGCCTCCTGGCAGAGCCAGCTGTGCTCAGGCTAAAAACAGCTGTTCTGTTTCTTCTCTGTGCCCCTCTACCCGGCCCCACTCACTGGTGTCTTGAGAAGGTTTTTAAATTTTCGGAATTCTCAGAACAGATTGTGAAATGTCTGGGTTTGGCTTAGAAATCCCGTGAGAGGGGGCATCAGGGGACAGGTGGGTGGATGGGCCTGGGGGGTGTGGAAGGCGGCCGGGTGTCAGGGCCCCAAGCACACGGGAAGGTCAACGGTCGGCACAAAACACACACAAAACACAACCACTGCGAGGCTGAGCCTCGCGGGCGAACCAGCATCTTCCCGTCACTCAGGGAGAGAAGGTTTTCCTTTATAAAGAGGAGAGGAAAGGAGGCCGGGCACAGTGGCTCACGCCTGTCATCCCAGCACTTTGGGAGGCCGAGGCGGGTGGATCACCTGAGGTCAGGAGTTCGAGACCAGCCTGGCCAACATGGTGAAACCTCGTCTCTACTAAAAATACAAAAATTAGCTGGGTGTGGTGGTGGGCGCCTGTAATCCCAGCTATTCAGGAGGCTGAGGCAGGAGAATCGCTTGTACCCAGGAGGCGGAGCTTGCAGTGAGCCGAGATCGCGCCACTGCACTCCAGCCTGGGCAACAGAGCAAGACTTCATCTCAAAAAAAAAAAGAAAGAAAGAAAGAAAAAGAAAGTAGTAGAGGAGAGAAAAAAGAGAGAACAAGAAAGATGGAGAGACAGAGACGGACAGAGACACAGAGACAGAGAGAGACGGAAAAAGAGGGACAGAGCCAGAGAGACTGAGAGAGATAGTTTTAAAAAAGGGAGACAGCGATGACACAGAGAGACACAGACACAGACACAGAGATGAAGAGACAGACAGATATAGGGAGACAGAGACAGACTGAGACAGAGAGACAGAGACAGAGGGAGACAGAGACAGAGACAGAGAAGGAGACAGAAAGAGGGCGGGGAGAGAGACAGAGACAGAGACACAGGCCTGAGCCCCGCATGGGTCTCCCCTCGGCCCCAGGCGGCGTCACCTGCGATCCCTGAAGCCGTTACCAGTTGCGCCACCTACGGTTGGTACAGGAAGGGGCCCCCACTACCTCTGCCCCCAGGCCGACCCCTGCAAAGCCCCCAGCGTGTTCCACGGAACCCTCCCTGCTACCCGCTCCCAGCGCTCCTGTCGCCCTGGCCTGTGCTTTTGAGTCCCCCCAGGACGCACAGGGAGCCTGGAGGACCCGGGGCCCGCGGGACGGTGCTGGGACCCTCCGGTCAGGACCGGGCTGCATCAGCCTTGCGTGGAAACAGATCCTGACGGGGAAGCCCACGTACAGTGAGGACGGGGCAGCCCCCTGGGCAGCTCTCGCGTGTGCTAGATCCAGCAGTGTGTGTGCAAGGTCTTTCTTTTCTTTCTTTTCTTTTTTTTTTGGTTGACAGCTTTATTGAGATGTCCTTCACACACACCAAGCAATTCACCCACTTAACAATTCGGTAGTGGCCAGATGGTGGGGGAGGATCGCTGGAGCCCAGGAGTTCCAGACGAGCCTGGGCAGCATAGCAAGACCCCTCTCTATTAAAAAAAAAAAAAGGCAGGGCGCGGTGGCTCACGCCTGTAATCCCAGCACTTTGGGAGGCTGAGGCCGGCGGATCACCTGAGGTCAGGAGTTCGAGACCAGCCTGGCCAACATGGTGAAATCCCGTCTCTACTACAAATACAAAAAACAAATTATTCAGGCGTGGTGGCAGGTGCCTGTAATCCCAGCTACTTAGGAGGCTGACGCAGGAGAATGGCTTGAACCCAGGAAGCCAAGGTCACACCACTGCACTCCAGCCTGGGTGACAAGAACAAAACTCCATGTAAAAACAAATCAAGAAACCTCAAATCCGTCGACCCCCACTGCTGCCCTGCAGAAGGTCCTATTACCGTCCTCACCCGCCTTTACAGGTGGGGAAACTGAGGACTGCAAGCCAAACAGCTTGCCTCAGCATGAGCTGACTCATGGCTGAAACCAACAGCACTTTTGTTGAATGAGAATAACCCTTTTATTTTGAGACGGTGTCTCGCTCTGTTGCCCAGGCTGGAGTGCAGTGACGCGATCTCAGCTCACTGCCCCCTCCACCTCCCGGGTTCAAGTAATTCTCCTCCCTCAGCCTCCCAAGTAGCTGGGATTACAGGCATCTGCCACCACACCCAGCTAATTTTTGTATTTTTAGTAGAGTCGGGGTTTCACCATGTTGCCCAGGCTGGTCTTGAACTCCTGACCTTGTGATCCATCTGCCTCAGCCTCCCAAAGTGCTGGGATTACAGGCAACAGCCACCGCGCCCGGCCACAGCTCTAGTTCTTTTTCTTTTTTTTTTTTTTGAGACGGAGTCTCGCTCTGTCGCCCAGGCTGGAGTGCAGTGGCACAATCTCTGCTCACTGCAAGCTCCGCCTCCCGGGTTCACGCCATTCTCCTGCCTCAGCCTCCCGAGTAGCTGGGACTACAGGCGCCCGCTACCACGCCCGGCTAATTTTTTGTATTTTTAGTAGAAACGGGGTTTCACCGTGTTAGCCAGGATGGTCTCGATCTCCTGACCTCGTGATCCGCCCGCCTCGGCCTCCCAAAGTGCTGGGATTACAGGCGTGAGCCACCGCGCCCGGCCCACAGCTCTAGTTCTTTAATACACATCAGGTCGGTCATGGTGGCTCATGCCTGTGATCCCAGCATTTGGGGAGGTCAAGGCAGGAGCGTCCCTGAAGGCTGGCAGTTCAAGACCAGCCAGGGCAACATAGCAAGACCCCATTTCTACAAAAAATTAAACAGCCAACCAAAAAAAAAAAAAAAAAGAAAGAAAAACTTTAGCTGGACATGGTGGAGCATGCCTGTGGTCCCAGCTACTTGGGGGGTTGAGGCAGGAGAATTGCTTGAGCCCAGGAGGTCGAGGCTGCAGTGAGCCATGATTACACCACTGCACTCCAGCCTGGGTGACACAGCCAGACCCTGTCTCAAAAAATATATATGTATATTTTAAAATATTATATATTATATAATGTAAATAATATACATGCTACATATTTTATGTATACATCTATGTTATATACATTAATATAGCCAGGTGCAGTGGCTCACACCTGTGTTCCCAGCACTTTGGCGGGATTACGGGCGGGTCACCTGAGGTCAGGAGTTCGAGACCAGCCTGGCCAATATAGTGAAACCCCGTCTTTACTAAAAATACAAAAAAAAAAAAAAATTAGCCAGGCGTGGTGGTGGGCGTCTATAATCCCAGCTATACAGGAGGCTGAGGCAGGAGAATTGTTTGAACCCGGGAGGCGGAGATTGCAGTGAGCTGAGATCGCACCACTGCTCTCCAGCCTGGTGACAGAGCGAGACTCTGTCTCAAAAAAAAAAAAAAATCCAAAGGGGAAAACAGTAACTGGACAGTGCAGGAACCGGCAGATGCCCTGACCACGTGGTCAAGGTTATTACCATCAGCACGAGACAGGCCGAAGCCATGGGCTTCGACGTGGGGGGCCTGAGACAGACACACGCCACGCCCGGGACTCCCTCCATTGAGTCCTGAGGCCACCCAGGACCATCCCCACGGAGGGACGCTCTGCAGAGTGACCACCAGCTCTCCTCAATGGTCCCAAGGGCTGAGGGAGGGCAGAGGGACTGCGCCCGCTGGAGGAGACCCTGACATCTGAAGATGGGTGGCTTGTGTACCCAGGACCCAGCAAAGGGTGGCTGGTGATACTCAGGGGGCTGGGGCAGAGGGGGCCATTTGGAATCAACTTTCGCGCCCTGGCTTCGATCACAGCCTGGAGGGTTGAGCAAGAGGACAGAATTTAGGGAAGCTGGGGGAGGGAGGCCGGGGGAGGGAGTTTGGGGAGCGGGGAGGGAGTTTGGACCCTTTGGACTTCTGTAAGCGTGAAATCCTTTCCAAATGAAACGTTAAAAAGCTTTTTTTCTTTTTGGCCTCCAAGTTCATTCAGTGCTTCTCTCCATTTCACTGTAGGTTTAAACCGTTCAGTTATAAATAAATAATTTTATCCTCTGTCCTCGGCTTTCCCCCGTTTCCGGCACTGCAGACATGGGGGCTGGATTTGTCTCTGCGGCGGGGCCATCCTGGGCACTGCAGGGCCCTGCCAGGAGCTCCCTCCAAGTCGTGACAACCACGGATGTCTCCAGGCCTCACACAGGGACCCCTGGGGGCAGAATCACCCCAGGGTTAGAGGATTCCACAGACCCCAAGAGACTCTGAGTCCCATGATCCTCTGCCCTGCTGAGGTCCCAGGAGGCTGCACACATTGAAATCCACACCCTGAGTGGGAGGGAGAGAGGAGGCGAGTCCCGGGAGCTGGGGTCCCCCGGGTTTATGCCGTACGCCCCATCGGGAGTTTATTCTGGTGTCCGGTGTGAGCAGGGGGCAGACTGGATTTTTTATTTTTTATTTTTATTTATTTATGTTTTGAGATGGAGTCTTGCTCTGTTGCCCAGGCTGGAGTGCAGTGGCACGATCTTGGCTCCCTGCAACCTTCGCCTCCCAGGCTCAAGTGATTCTCCTGCCTCAGCCTCCTGAGTAGCTGGGACTACAGGCGCCCGCCAACACGCGCAGCTAATTTTTGTATTTTTAGTAGAGATGGGGTTTCACTATGTTGGCCAGGCTGGTCTTGAACTCCTGACCTCAGGCGATCCACCCGCCTCGGCCTCCCAAAGTGCTGGGATTACAGGTGTGAGGCACCGCACCTGGCCATTTTTTTCCCCAAATAATGAACACTGGTCTCTCCCCTGGGCCCTGTGGACATCGGGGCTGGATCCTTCTCTGGGGCAGGCCCGTCCTGGGCACTGCAGGGTGCTAGGCATCATCCTTGGCCTCCACCCACTCCATGCCAGGAGCTCCCCTTTCGTGACAGCCACAGGTGTCCTCAGACCTCGCCCAGGGTCCCCTGGGGGCAGAATCACCTCTTGATTGAGAATCCTGGCCTTAAAGGGGGAAGAAAACCCCCAGACAAAACTGGCAGGAGGATGTTCGCTGGGGCCTCAGGTGAGGCACTGAGGGCACTCGTGGTGGGGCCCTGCCTTCCCGAGCTCTGCATCCTGTCCCCTGCTACGTCCTGCTGTCTGTCCGTTTCCAGCTCACCCACCCACGGGACACACCTGCCACGGCCGGCTTTGCTGGGGCCACAGGGACCTCGTCAGGGAGGCGTCTCCTTGTGGGTGGCACGTGGGCATGTGTTGCTCTGAGGGCTGTGGCCATGTTGCCCACCTGGCCAGGGACCCCCGACTTGGGTGGGTGACAGCCAGCCTCCCCGCCCCCACAAAGGTTGGGACCTTGAGCCCAAAGCCCCCACCTCCTCCCCGGAGTCCGTTCTGACTCCCAGGCTCCCAAGGCAAAAGGAGGAAGTGGGGACCCAGCCTGGGCATTGGGCAACTCAACGGCCTCTGGCATTGGGCTATAAGAGGAGCTTGACCGTGGGTGCACCCTGGACCCCACCATGGCTCACCGGCCCCCCAGCCCTGCCCTGGCGTCCGTGCTGCTGGCCTTGCTGCTGAGCGGTGAGTGAGCCACGTGCCCATCCATCCAGCCTCCAGGCCCCGGTGGATTGTGGGGAAATATCCACCACGAGGTCCATCCAAAGCCCTTCTGGCACAGCTGGGGAAACTGAGGCAGGGTCAGGGGAGACTCCACTCACTGCTCGGGACCAACGCTTGCAGGGGTGGGGAGGACAAGGGCAAGGGGGAGCCCTGGCCATTTGACTCAGTTGCCTATCTGTAAAACGGGCAAAACCCAGCCCTTCCCTCCTGAGGAGCTGTTTTGGGAATTAGCTAGTAACAGGCGAATTCCTGGACAGCACCCAGCCTTCAGCAAATGCTCAGTGAATATGCATGAATGAATGAATGAGTGAATGAATGAGTGAGTGAGTGAATGAGTGAACAAATGAATGAGTGAATGAATCAATGAGTGAGTGAATGAATGAGTGAATGAGTGAATGAGTGAACGAATGAATGAGTGAATGAATCAATGAGTGAGTGAATGAATGAGTGAATGAGTGAATGAATGAGTGAATGAGTGAATGAGTGAACGAATGAATGAGTGAATGAATGAATGAGTGAGTGAGTGAAAGGGTCGAGGAGTTAGTGATGCTGGAATCAGGGGAAGAAGAGAGCATGGGCCCCCTCAGGTCCCTATCCTGAGGGTGATTTTCTTTTTCTTTTTCTTTTTTTTTTTTTTGAGACGGAGTCTCGCCCTGTCGCCCAGGCTGGAGTGCAGTGGCGCGATCTCGGCTCACTGCAAGCTCAGCCTCCCGGGTTCACGCCTTTCTCCTGCCTCAGCCTCCCGAGTAGCTGGGACTACAGGCGCCCACCACCATGCCTGGATAATTTTTTGTAATTTTTGTAGAGACGGGGTTTCAAGGTGTTAGCCAGGATGGTCTCGATCTCCTGACTTCGTGATCCGCCTGCCTCAGCCTCCCAAAGTGCTGGGATTACAGGCGTGAGCCACCGCGCCTGGCCCTTTTTTTTTCTTTTTTGAAACGGAATCTTGCTCTGTCGCCCAGGCTGGAGTGCAGTGGTGCAATCTCAGTTTACTGCAGCCTCAGCCTCCTGGGGTCAAATGATTCTCCTGCCTCCGCCTCTTGAGTAGCTGGGATTACAAGCACACACCACCACACCTGGCTAGTTTTTGTATTTTTAGTAGAGATGGGGTTTCACCACGTTGGTCAGGCTGGTCTCGAACTCCTGACCTGAGGGGGATTTTCAATGCCTCAGTTTGTTCATCTGCAAAATGGGTCTCTTTGTTGGCTGATTTTTTTTTTTTTTTTTGCTTCTTTTTTTTTATTTTGTTTTGTTTTGTTTTTTTGAGATGGGGTCTCACTCAGGCATGAGCCACTGCGCCCAGGATTTTTTTTTTTTTTTTTTTTTTTTGAGACAGAATCTCACTCTGTTGCCCAGGCTGGAGTGCAGTGGTGTGATCTCGGCTCACTGCAACCTGTGCCTCCTGGGTTCAAGCGATTCTCCTGCCTCAGCCTCCCAGGCAGCTGAGATTACAGGTGCGAACCACCACACCTGGCTAATTTTTTTTTTTTTTTTTTTTGAGACGGAGTGTCATTCTGTTGCCAGGCTGGAGTGCAGTGGGGCGATCTTGGCTCACCACAACCTCCGCTTCCTGGGTTCAAGCGATTCTCCTGCGTCAACCTCCGGAGTAGCTGGGACTACAGGCACGTGCCACCACGCCCAGCTAATGTTTGTATTTTTAGTAGAGACAGGGTTTCACCATGTTGGCCAGGATGGTCTCCATCTCTTGACCTCAGGTGATCCACCCACCTCGGCCTCCCAAAGTATTGGGATTACAGGCGTGGGCCAACCGCACCCGACCAATTTTTCTGCTTCTTTAAAAACATTTTTTTAAATTTTGTTTTAGAGACAGGGTCTTGCTCTGTTGCCCAGGCTGGAGTGCAGTGGTGTGATCTCAGTTCACTGCAGCCTTGACCTCCTGGGCTCAAGCGATCCTCCCTCCTCAGCCTCCCAAGTAGCTGGGACGACAGGTGCACACCACCATGCCTGGCTAATTTTAAAATTTTTTGTAGAGATGGGGTCCTCACAATTTTGCCCAGGCTGGTCTTGAACTCCTGAGCTCAAGGGAGCCTCCTGCCTCGGCCTCCCAAAGTGTTGGGATTACAGGCGTGAGCCACTGCACCCAGCCACCTGGTCTGCGTCTTAAAAGCCTTCCTGACTCTCAGGACTGAAAGCTGCCACCAGGGCGCCTTTGGAAATCGTCGTAATTATAACCCCCCCGGCCTGGGCGCTGAGTCCTTCCCACCAGCCAGCAGGCACTGACCGGGTTGCAGATCGGGAGACGGAGGCTCGGAGAGGCCCAGGGGCTGCTCTGCCATCCCCCCTTTCCCTGCAGCCTGGGGGCTCCCTGACGCCTGGACTCCCCCCCTGCAGGTGCTGCCCGAGCTGCGGAGATCGTGGGCGGGCACGAGGCGCAGCCACACTCCCGGCCCTACATGGCCTCCCTGCAGATGCGGGGGAACCCGGGCAGCCACTTCTGCGGAGGCACCTTGATCCACCCCAGCTTCGTGCTGACGGCCGCGCACTGCCTGCGGGACATGTGAGCGGCCGCCTCCACACCCCTGTCCGCCCGCCCCGCCCTCTTCCTCCAGCCCTGGCCCGGCCACTGTCCCTCTGCCCGGGGAGGACCCAGCTAAGCCCCGTCTGCAGACCCCAGGCCCCGCGCGCGTGGGCAGTTCTGGGGGGAGGCCCGGGGCAGGGTCGCCGAGGGAGGGGTCTGGGGCTGCACCGCGGCCTCGGGAAGGGCCGGCTGTGGGCGGCGGCGAGTGTCCAGGGCGCCGAGGAGTGACCACCCCACCCCCGCAGACCCCAGCGCCTGGTGAACGTGGTGCTCGGAGCCCACAACGTGCGGACGCAGGAGCCCACCCAGCAGCACTTCTCGGTGGCTCAGGTGTTTCTGAACAACTACGACGCGGAGAACAAACTGAACGACGTTCTCCTCATCCAGGTGGGCGGGCAGGGCCGCGAGGGCTCGGAGGGGCACGGCCAGAGGGCTCCGGGACCCCCATTCCTGCAGCCAGCATTCATTGAGCACCCACTGTATACCGGGCCACGACCGAGGCCGCTGCAGCCTGGGTCCAGTGGCACTGGCCGGGGGAGACCGCTCCTTGGACACCAGGCCACTCCTCCTCCCCGCCTCTCCCCCGCCCGCGCCTCTCCCCCGCCCGCGCCTCTCCCCTGCGCGCCTCTCCCCCGCCCGCGCCTCTCCCCCGCCCGCGCCTCTCCCCCGCCCGCGCCTCTCCCTTGCCCGCCCCTCTCCCCTGCCCGCGCCTCTCCCCTGCATGCCTCTCCCTTGCCCGCCCCTCTCCCCTGCCCGCGCCTCTCCCCTGCGCGCCTCTCCCCTGCCCGCGCCTCTCCCCCGGCCGCTCCTCTCCCCCGCCCGCGCCTCTCCCCCGCCCGCGCCTCTCCCCTGCGCGCCTCTCCCCTGCCTGCCCCTCTCCCCTGCCTGCGCCTCCGCCCGGTGTGCTGTTCCCCCAGAAAGCCAGGTGCCCTCGCCTCCTCCGGCGCCTCCCCTGACCTCACTGGAAGTGGCGAGGACAGCCACAGCCCTCCCCGATTCACTGTTCTCCACTGAACCGCGTGCTCCTCTCATTCATGGGGCCCTCCTAGCCTCCTCCCACCCAGAAAGATCAGCTCCCCAGGGCAGAGGATTTTTGTCTGTGTTGTTCGTTATTGGACTCATGTGGCTTAGAACGGGACTGGGCATACAGGTGGTGCTCAGTAAGTGCTTGGGGCTGGGCACTGTGGCTCACGCCTGTACTCCCAGTACTTTGGGAGGCTGGGATGGGAGGATCACTTGAGGCCAGGAGTTTGGGAGCAGCCTGACCAACCTAGTGAGACCCCATCTCTATAAAAGACATTTTTTTTTTTTTTTTTTTTAGACAGAGTCTCACTCAGTCATCCAGGCTGGAGTGCAGTGGTGCAATCTCGGCTCACTGCCACCTCTGCCTTCCAGGTTCAAGTAATTCTCCTGCCTCAGCCTCCTGAGTAGCTGGGATTACAGGCATGCACCAACACGCTTGGCTAATTTTTGTATTTTTAGTAGAGACGGTGTTTTGCCACGTTGGCCAGGCTGGTCTCGAACTCCTGACCTCAAGTGATCTGCTCTCCTCAGCCTCCCAAAGTGCTGGGATTATAGGAGAGAGCCACCGCGTCCAGCCTACAAAAGAAAAATTTAAAAATCAACCGGGCATGGTAGCACACGCCAAGCCACTCATGAGCTGAGATGGGAGGATCACTTGAGCCCAGGAGGTTGAGGCTGCAGTGAGCTGTGATCATGCCACCACACTCCAGCCTCGGCGACAGAGCAAGACCCCATCTCAAAAAAAAAGTGCTTTGAAGATGAATGAATGGGCCAGGGGCGGTGGCTGTAATCCCAGCACTTTGGGAGGCCGAGGCGGGCGGATCGCCTGAGGTCAGGAGTTTGAGACCAGCCTGATCGATATGGCAAACCCCGTGTCTACTAAAAATACAAAAATTAGCTGGGCGTGACGGCAGGTGTCTGTAGTCCCAGCTACTTGGGAGGCTGAGGCAGCAGAATTGCTTGAACCCAGGAGGCAGAGGTTGCAGTGAGCCGAGATTGTGCCACTGCACTCTAGCCTGGGCAACAAGAGCGAAACTCCATCTCAAAAAAAAAAAAAAGAAAAGAAAGAAAGAAAGAAAACATGAATGAATGGCCGGGCACTATGGCTCACACTTGTAATCCCAGCACTTTCGGAGGCTGAGGAAGGCAGATCACTTGAGGTTGGGAGTTTGAGACCAGGCTGGCCACCTCACCCAATGGGATGGCTCCGGGAGGTTCCAGTGAGCCGAGATCACGCCACTGCATTCCAGCCTGGGTGGCAGAGCAAGACTCCATCTCAAAAGAAAGAAAGAAGGAAAGAAAATGAATGAATACAATAGTGACAAATGGGACAAAGGGGGTCGTGGGGCCCAGGCGGAGGGAGCGGCATCCGCGGCGTTTTGAGGTGGTGGGTGTGGTGGGTGTGGTGGGAGGGCGGCCCGGGCGGCCACCGTGACCTGGAAGCAGCGTCTCACCGCCGCCTGCCTTCTGCCCCAGCTGAGCAGCCCAGCCAACCTCAGTGCCTCCGTCGCCACAGTCCAGCTGCCACAGCAGGACCAGCCAGTGCCCCACGGCACCCAGTGCCTGGCCATGGGCTGGGGCCGCGTGGGTGCCCACGACCCCCCAGCCCAGGTCCTGCAGGAGCTCAATGTCACCGTGGTCACCTTCTTCTGCCGGCCACATAACATTTGCACTTTCGTCCCTCGCCGCAAGGCCGGCATCTGCTTCGTAAGTAACCGTGCCCCCACCCCGGGCACCGGGCTGCCATGAGGGGAGGAGGGCGGCGGCCAGGGTTCCACGCCACCTCTTAGCTGTGTGGCTTCATGCTGTGCCTCAGTCTCCCCACCTGGAAGGTGGGCACACCCAACACCCAACGGGCAGGCTCAGCGGGGTGGGGGCGCTCACATTGCACCTGGCTGCTTGGGTGGGTCTGGGGGTTCCCTGCCCCCCACTCCCCTCTAGGACCACAGGAAGGTGTGGGAGACCCATCCGCCCTCACCGGCGGCCCCTTCCAGAATCCAGGACTCCAGGTATCCAGCGGGAGGCCCATAAATGCCCAGTTCCTACGAAAGACCTCAGCCCCTCCCTGCTCACACTTTTTGTTTGTTTTTGAGACGGAGTGTCGCTCTGTTGTCCAGGCTGGAGTGCAGTGGTGAGATCTCAGCTCACTGCAACCTCCACCTCCCAGGTTCAAGGTATTCTCCTGCCTCAGCCTCCTGAGTAACTAGGTGCACAGGTACCTGCCACCGTGCCTGGCTAATTTTTTTGGTATTTTTAGTAGAGATGAGGTTTCTCCATGTTGACCAGGCTGGTCTTGAACTCCTGGCATCAAGTGATGCCTGGCTGGTGCTCACACATTTTAAAGAAAATTCCAGGCCAGCAGTGGTGGCTCACGCCTGTAATCTCAGCACTTTGGGAGGCCAAAGCGGAAGGATCTTTTGAGTCCAGGAGTTCAAGACCAGCCTGGGCAACATAGCAGGGTGGCATCTCTACAAATAATTTAAATATTAGCTGGGCATGGTGATGTGAGCCTGTAGGCCCAGCTACTCAGGAGGCTAAGGCAGGAGGATCACTTGAGCCTGGGGAGTTCGAGGTTGCAGTGAGCTATGATTGTGCCACTGCACTCCAGCCTGGAGAACAGAGCGAGACCCTGTCTCGAGAGAAAGACAGCCAGCTACTCGGGAGGCCGAGGCAGGAGAATCACTTGAACCCGGGAGGCAGAGGTTGCAGTGAGCCGAGATCACGGCACTGCACTCCAGCCTGGGTGACAGAGCGAGACTCTGTCGCAAACAAAACAAAAACAAAACAAAACAAAACAAAAGGAGAAAGAAAGAAAGAGATAGAGAGAGAAAGAAAGAAGAAAGAAAGAAAAAGAGAGAAAGAAAGAAAGAAAGAAAGAAAAAGAAAGAGAGAGAGAGAGAGAGAGAGAGAGAAAGAAAGAAAGAAAGTTCCATATTGGAAGCATTTTATTCTGAAACAGCTGTGGCTACCCCAGCCCCCTTCCTGGCTGCCTGGGGCCAGCCCGGGTGACTGGCTGTCCCCATCCTCCCGGGAGACTCAGGTGGCCCCTGATGGGTGACTGGCCGTCCCCATCCTCCAGGGAGACTCAGGTGGCCCCTGATGGGTGACTGGCCGTCCCTGTCCTCCAGGGAGACTCAGGTGGCCCCCTGATCTGTGATGGCATCATCCAAGGAATAGACTCCTTCGTGATCTGGGGATGTGCCACCCGCCTTTTCCCTGACTTCTTCACGCGGGTAGCCCTCTACGTGGACTGGATCCGTTCCACGCTGCGCCGTGTGGAGGCCAAGGGCCGCCCCTGAACCGCCCCTCCCACAGCGCTGGCCGGGACCCCGAGCCTGGCTCCAAACCCTCGAGGCGGATCTTTGGACAGAAGCAGCTCTTCCCCGAACACTGTGGCGTCCGGGACGGCCCCACCCGTCCCCCCACACTCCCTCCCACGGGGCTCCGGGAGACAGGCCGGCCCTGCACCTCACCCCACCGTGACCTCAATAAACGTTGAAACTCCCCCTGGCTCCTGTCTGTCCTTCCCATATAGGGAGGGGAGGGGGAACTGCCCACCGTGACCTCAATAAACGTTGAAACTCCCCCTGGCTCCTGTCTGTCCTTCCCATATAGGGAGGGAACCAGGGAGAGGTCCCCTGGGTTCAAGTCCCCGAGCCCCAAACTCAGGATGGGGGGAGTCGGAGCGGGGGATGGGGGCCCAGGTTGCAGGGGGTCTCTCTCCTGGATGCTCGTGGCTGTGGGTTCTAACCCGGCCCCATCAGGGTGGCCCTGGGCAGGTTGTTATTCATCTCCGTGCCTCAGTTTCCTCATCTGGAAAATGGACTCGCCCCAGACGTTTCCTAGAACTGTCCCTGCTGGCTCAGGGACTCCTTGAGGAAGGGGATGGGGATGGGGAAGCAGCCTGGGGGGCTTCCTGGAGGAGGTGGCAGTGCCAGAGCTGCATATCAAGGTGTGAACAGAAACATCCGAAGGGCTGCCAGGCAGGGGGCACAGTCCAGGCAGAGACCTGAGGGCTAGAGGCCAGGGGACGGGGAGGAGGGCAGGCAGGGGAGGGATGTGGGTGCAGGGGAGGGGTAATGGGGGTTGGAGCGCTATTTCTCGTAGGAGGGGTAGGCAGGGCAGGAGTTCCCTGGTAGAAGCATGAGCAATGAACTGGGTGGGGGGGTGGCCAGAGGGGAGGTCCGAGGCGGGGAAGAGGTGGGACTCACAGTCCAGCTCAAAGACGGGCAAGTGGCCACTAGAAGGAGGCATTAGCCACAGAGAGGGGACGACCTGCTCCAGGACACGTGTAGAGAAGAAATGAAGCTCATTGCTGGTGTTTTTTTTTTCTTTTTAATATTTTTTTGAGACAGAGTCTCGCTCTGTCACCCAGGCTGGAGTGCAGTGGTGTGATCTCGGCTCACTGCAAGCTCCGCCACCCGGGTTGAAGCGATTCTCCTGCCTCAGCCTCCGGAGTAGCTGGGACCACAGGCACAGACCACCACGCCCAGTTAATTTTTATATTTTTAGTACAGACAGGGTTTCACCACGTTGTCCAGGCTGGTCTCGAACTCCTGACCTCAGGTGGTCCACCCGCCTCAGCTTCCCAAAGTGCTGGGTTTACAGGCGTGAGCCTACTTACTTATTTACAGCTGGCCTACTTATTTATTTTTGAGACAGGGTCTCACTCTGTCGCCCAGTCTGTAGTGCAGTGGTGCAATCTTGGCTTACCGCAGCCTCAACCTCCTGGGCTCAAGTGATCCTCCCACCTCAGCCTCCCGAGTAGCTGGGACTACAGGTGCCACCACACCCAGCTATTTTCTTAGTTTTTGTAGAGACGGGGTCTGGCTGTGTTGCCCAGGTGGGTCCTCAGTGACTCTTTACATATGAACACCTCCAGGTCACTGTAATCTTAGCAATCTCCTGGCCTCCCAGAAGACCCCACGTCCCCCTCGGAGTCTACACCTGCTGTGACCATAACACCCCTACCTTCCCTGCCACAGTTAATGGTGAACCAGCTCTCAAAGCAACACTTTCTTTTTTCTTTTTTTTTTTTGAGACGGAGTTTTGCTCTTGTCGCCCAGGCTGGAGTGCAGTGGCATGATCTCGGCTCACTGCAACCTCCGCCTCCTAGGTTCAAGCAATTCTCCTGCCTCAGTCTCCCGAGTAGCCGGGATTACAGGCAGGTACCACCACGCCAGGCTAATTTTGTATTTTTGGTAGAGACGGGGTTTGTCCATGTTGGTCAGGCTGGAATTCCCAACCTCAGGTGATCCACCCGCCTCAGCCTCCCAAAGTGTTGGGATTACAGGCCTGAGCCACCGCGCCCGGCCAGACAACACTTTCTTAGCTAAGAACTTTACGAACGTGAATTTATTTCATCCTCTTGACAGGTTTATGTGATGGATCCTACGATTATAATTTTACAGAGGAGGAAACTGAGTCACGGAGAGTTTATTTCAGGGGCCTGAAGTTACACAGTGGCCAAATGGCCACACCAGAACCAGGATATGAACCCAGCGTCGGCACACTTAATAAAGACTGCACGTGAGAATGTAGTATACAGCTGGTGCTCAATAAATGCAGCTGACGCCAAGTCTGATCTCCGTGCTGGAGGCCAAGCCCCTTCCAAAGATACAGCGTCCCCCACCCCTGAAATCCCCCCACCCCCGACTTGAAACAGGGCTGTGTAGACAGTAGGCGCTTACTAAGTGCACTGTGGTGATGTTAAGGCAGCAAGGTGGGAACCCTGCCAAAAGGGGAGGGGAGAAGGCAGGGTAGTGTGTGTCTGATTAAGCTGAGGACAGGGCAGACATGGACTGAGCGCCTGCTGTGTGCCAGGCTCTGGGAGGGCAGGGCCATTGTCTCCCTAACCCGAGAGCCATGGGGGTCCACTTGCCTGTGGTCACGTCAGGACTCCAGCCTGGCCCAGGCTCTGCGTGTCCCCGGGTGCCCTCGCCCCGCCTATTCCTGGAGACAGGCCCGTTGGTTCCCTTCCCCTCCCCTTGTCCTGGAGCCAGGAGGACGTTGGTTCTTGCGACAGCCTTGGCCCGGCCGTTGCAGCTGGAACATCGTGGGGGAGATGGGAAGAGGAACGGGGCCCGGAGCCCGGGGCTGGGTCCTGGGAATCCCATTCCCGCAGCTGGGACTCCAGCTCCCCTGCCAGTTCCTCCAGGCGGAAGCCCTCAGGCTTGGTCCTCACTCCAGCCTCCCGGCCTGGACAGGAATTCTCTCTCCAGCAGCCCTGCCAGATGCCCGCCCAGCCCCTGCCTCAGGCGGGGAGGGCTTCAGGGAAGCTCACCAAGGCAGAAGGGCGGGAGAGATTGTCAGAGCCCCAGCTGGTGTCCAGGGACTGACCGTGAGCCTGGGTGAAAGTGAGTTCCCCGTTGGAGGCAACAGACGAGGAGAGGATGGAAGGCCTGGCCCCCAAGAATGAGCCCTGAGGTTCAGGGAGCGGCTGGAGTGAGCCGGCCCCAGATCTCCGTCCAGCTGCGGGTCCCAGAGGCCTGGGTTACACTCGCAGCTCCTGGGGGAGGCCCTTGACGTGCCTCAGTTCCCAAACAGGAACCCTGGGAAGGACCAGAGAAGTGCCTATTGCGCAGTGAGTGCCCGACACAGCTGCATGTGGCCGGTATCACAGGGCCCTGGGTAAACTGAGGCAGGCGACACAGCTGCATGTGGCCGGTATCACAGGGCCCTGGGTAAACTGAGGCAGGCGACACAGCTGCATGTGGCCGGTATCACAGGGCCCTGGGTAAACTGAGGCAGGCGACACAGCTGCATGTGGCCGTATCACAGGGCCCTGGGTAAACTGAGGCAGGTGACACAGCTGCATGTGGCCGTATCACGGGGCCCTGGGTAAACTGAGGCAGGTGACACAGCTGCATGTGGCCGGTATCACGGGGCCCTGGATAAACAGAGGCAGGCGACACAGCTGCATGTGGCCGGTATCACAGGGCCCTGGGTAAACTGAGGCAGGCGAGGCCACCCCCATCAAGTCCCTCAGGTCTAGGTTTGGCAGGTTTGGCAAAAACACAGCAACGCTCGGTTAAATCTGAATTTCGGGTAAGTATATCCTGGGCCTCATTTGGAAGAGACTTAGATTAAAAAAAAAACGTCGAGACCAGCCCGGCCAACACGGTGAAACCCCGTCTCTACTAAAAATACAAAAAATTAGCCAGGCGCAGTGGCTCACGCCTGTGATCCCAGCACTCTGGGAGGCTGAGGCAGGCGGATCACCCGAGGTCAGATGTTCAAGACCAGCCTGGCCGACAGGGCGAAACACTGTCTCTACTACAAATACAAAAATTAGCCGGGAGTGGTGGCAGGTGCCTGTAATCTCAGCTATTCAGGAGGCTGAGGCAGGAGAATCACTTGAACCTGGGAGGCGGAGGTTGCCGTGAGCCGGGATCACGCCACCGCACTCCAGCCTGGGCGATAGAGCAAGACTCTGTCTCCAAAAAAATAAATTAAAAAACCCACATTGATTATCTGAAATTTGAATGCGATTGTGCATCCTGAATTTTGTCTGGAGGCCCCACCCGAGCCAATCCAGCGTCTTGTCCCCCTTCTCCCCCTTTTCATCAACGCCCTGTGCCAGGGGAGAGGAAGTGGAGGGCGCTGGCCGGCCGTGGGGCAATGCAACGGCCTCCCAGCACAGGGCTATAAGAGGAGCCGGGCGGGCACGGAGGGGCAGAGACCCCGGAGCCCCAGCCCCACCATGACCCTCGGCCGCCGACTCGCGTGTCTTTTCCTCGCCTGTGTCCTGCCGGCCTTGCTGCTGGGGGGTGAGTTTTTGAGTCCAACCTCCCGCTGCTCCCTCTGTCCCGGGTTCTGTTCCCACCTCTCCATAGAGGGCCCCACCAGTGTGGGTCCCTCATCCTCACAGGGGAGGTGCCAGCTGGGACAAGGAGACCAGAAGAGACTGAGGTTCTGAGCGGTGAAGCCACCACCAGGAGCCCAGAGTTGGGGTTTGAAAACCGGGGAGGGGGGGGGGGTCGCAGGTCGCCCTCTGGGTTCAAGTCCAGGTCTGTCTGTGCCTTGGAGGGGCACCGTGGGGAGGTCCCTTTGCCTCTCCGTGCCTCAGTTTCCTCATCTGAACAACAGGGGTGCGAACGGCCCCGATCCCGTGGGTTCCCGGTGGGGGATCCCGTGGGTTCCCGGTGGGGGATCCCGTGGGTTCCTGGTGGGGGATCCAGAGGCCCCGTGGCCGGGAGGGGACAGGCTCCTTGGCAGGCACTCAGCACCCGCACCCGGTGTGTCCCCAGGCACCGCGCTGGCCTCGGAGATTGTGGGGGGCCGGCGAGCGCGGCCCCACGCGTGGCCCTTCATGGTGTCCCTGCAGCTGCGCGGAGGCCACTTCTGCGGCGCCACCCTGATTGCGCCCAACTTCGTCATGTCGGCCGCGCACTGCGTGGCGAATGTGTGAGTAGCCGGGAGTGTGCGCGCCCGGCTCGGACCCCGCGTCCCGGTCTGTGAGGTGGGTGGGGGGAGGCCGGGGCCGGGGCTGCTGGCGGGGGGGGTCCGTCCAGGGCCCGCGGGGCCCCTCGAGCACCTTCGCCCTCAGGCCCGTCGCCGGATGGGGACGACAAGGCGCGGCTGAGCCCCGACCCCCGGGGCCGCCCCTGAGCCCCGCCTCTCCCTCCCCGGCAGAAACGTCCGCGCGGTGCGGGTGGTCCTGGGAGCCCATAACCTCTCGCGGCGGGAGCCCACCCGGCAGGTGTTCGCCGTGCAGCGCATCTTCGAAAACGGCTACGACCCCGTAAACTTGCTCAACGACATCGTGATTCTCCAGGTGCCGCCGGGCGGGGCGGGGGGCGCAGGGGCGGAGGCCAGAGGCCTGGGGAGGGTGGAGGCTGCGACGGAGGGGCGCGTCGGGGCCGCTCGTGGGGACCTGGGGTGGCATCGTGGGCTGGGTGGTCCCCTCTCCGCGCCTCGGTCTGCACCTCTGTGAAACGGGAAAATACCCGCCATGGGCCGTTGAGGGGTTAAATGAGATCCTGCAGGGAGGCCCCGATCTGCTGTCAATCAACAAACTTACTGAGAAGGGAGGCCCCGATCTGTTGTCAATCAACAAACTTACTGAGAAGGGAGGCCCCGATCTGTTGTCAATCAACAAACTTACTGAGAAGGGAGGCCCCGATCTGCTGTCAATCAACAAACTTACTGAGAAGGGAGGCCCCGATCTGCTGTCAATCAACAAACTTACTGAGAAGGGAGGCCCCGATCTGCTGTCAATCAACAAACTTACTGAGAAGGGAGGCCCCGATCTGTTGTCAATCAACAAACTTACTGAGAAGGGAGGCCCCGATCTGCTGTCAATCAACAAACTTACTGAGAAGGGAGGCCCCGATCTGTTGTCAATCAACAAACTTACTGAGAAGGGAGGCCCCGATCTGCTGTCAATCAACAAACTTACTGAGATTCTTTGTGTCTCTCCATTCACCAGTCCTGTGGCCCAGGGCAGGGGCCGCCTCTGTCTTTGGGAAAAGGGGCAAAAGTCCCCACCTTTCCACCCCTGTCCGCGGCTTGCAGTTCTGGTTATTTCCTGGGCGCCGGGCCCCGTGGCTCAGGCCTGTCATCCCAGCACTTTGGGAGGCTGAGGCGGGTGGATCACGAGGTCAGGTGTTCGAGACCAGCCTGAGCAACATAGTGAAACCCCGTCTCTACTAAAATACAAAAAAAAAAAATTAGCCGAGTGTGGTTGTGGGTGCCTGTAATGCCAACTACTCAGGAGGCTGAGGAAGGAGAATCGCTTGAACCCCGGAGGCGGAGATTGCAGTGAGCTGAGATCACACCACTGCACTCCAGCCTGGGTCTCAAAAAAAAAAAAAAAGATTCCTCCCTGGGAAGGGTTAGAGGGAGAGTTTCCTTGTCACTAAGTTTTCTCATAGCTCTCACCCAGTGCAGTGGCGCGATCGCAGCTCACTACAGCCTCCATCTCCTGGGCTCAAGCCACCCTCTCAGCTTGGAATGGGGGGTAGCTGGAACCACAGGTGCCACCACGTGGGTCCACCACGTCTGGCTAATATATATATATACACACACACATACATATATTATAAATAATAAATATATATTTTATTTAAATAAAATATATAATATTTATAATTATTTTATAATTATAATAATATTTATATAATTATAAATATCATTTATAATTATAATATTTATTATTTTATAAAATAATAAATATAAAATATATAAAAATATTTTTATAAAATAATAAAAATATATATATACACACATATATATATATTTTTTGAGACAAGTCTCGCTCTGTCGCCCAGGCTGGAGCGCAGTGGCACAATCTCAGCTCACTGCAACCTCCGCCTCCCAGGTTCAAGCGATTCTCCTGCCTCAGCCTCCCAGGTAGCTGGGACTACAGGCGCCCGCCACCACGCCTGGCTAATTTTTGGTATTGTTAGTAGAGACGGGGTTTAACCATGTTAGCCAGGATGGTCTTGATCTCCTGACCTTTTGATTGGCCCACCTCAGCCTCCCAAAATGCTGGGATTATAGGCGTGAGCCACCGCACCTGGCAATTTTTTTTAATTATTTTTGTAGACATGGGGCTTTGCCACATTGCCCAGGCTGGTCTTGAATGCCTGGCCTCAAGTGATCCTCCTGCCTCGCCCTCCCAAAGTGCTGGGCTTACAAGCATGAGCCACCGCGCCCGGCTGTAGTTTTTTTGTTAACTGAGCACCTACTGCTTCCTGCACTCAAGCCACATCCAGGGACAACCTCCAACGCCCTGAGCCTTGGTGACGGCTCCCACTCTACAGATGGGGAAACCGAGGCTTGCCTTGGGGAGCAGAGTGTGGGGTGGGTATCCTGCCCTGCAGGATCCCAGAACCACAGTGGAACCTGAGATGGGGAAACTGAGGCCCGGAGAGGGGAGGGTCATCATCACTGCCCCGTGTGACGCGCTGACGATCTGTCCCCACCGCCACAGCTCAACGGGTCGGCCACCATCAACGCCAACGTGCAGGTGGCCCAGCTGCCGGCTCAGGGACGCCGCCTGGGCAACGGGGTGCAGTGCCTGGCCATGGGCTGGGGCCTTCTGGGCAGGAACCGTGGGATCGCCAGCGTCCTGCAGGAGCTCAACGTGACGGTGGTGACGTCCCTCTGCCGTCGCAGCAACGTCTGCACTCTCGTGAGGGGCCGGCAGGCCGGCGTCTGTTTCGTACGTGCCCTGGGTGTCCCTCTGCTCCCCACCCGCTCCCAGCCCGGACTGCAGCAACAGGCACCGTGGCTAGACCCTAGGAGGGACTTCCCAACCCTGACAGGCGGCGGGCAGGTGGGCAGGGCCTCGCAGTCCAGCTTCCCCACCTTGTCTGCCTCCACAGGGGGACTCCGGCAGCCCCTTGGTCTGCAACGGGCTAATCCACGGAATTGCCTCCTTCGTCCGGGGAGGCTGCGCCTCAGGGCTCTACCCCGATGCCTTTGCCCCGGTGGCACAGTTTGTAAACTGGATCGACTCTATCATCCAACGCTCCGAGGACAACCCCTGTCCCCACCCCCGGGACCCGGACCCGGCCAGCAGGACCCACTGAGAAGGGCTGCCCGGGTCACCTCAGCTGCCCACACCCACACTCTCCAGCATCTGGCACAATAAACATTCTCTGTTTTGTAGAATGTGTTTGATGCTCCTTGGCTGTGTGATTGGGTGTTGAAAATGGTCAGTAGGTCGGGCGTGGTGGCTCACACCTGTAATCCCAGCACTTTGGGAGGTTGAGGCAGGCGGATCACTTGAGCTCAGGAGTTCAAGACCAGCCTGGGCAACATGGCAAAACCCCCGCTCCATTAAAAAAAAATAAATAAATAAAATAAAATAAAATAAAATGGTCCAAGCCTGGCCCAGTGGCTTACGCCTGCAATCCCAGCACTTTGGGAGGCCGAGGCTGGCAGATCACCTGAGGTCGGGAGTTCAAGACTAGTCTGCCAACGTGGTGAAACCCCATCTCTACTATAAATACAAAAAAAATTAGCTTGGCGTCGTGGCGCGTGGGAGGCTGAGGCAGGAGAATCGCTTGAACCTGCGAGGCGAAGGCTGTAGTGAGCCGAGATTACGCCACTGCACTCCAGCCTGGGCAACACAGAGAGACTCCGTCTCAAAAAAAAAAAAAAAAAAAAAAATACCGGTGCGGTGGCTCGTGCCTGTAATCCCAGCTCTTTGGGAGGCCCAGGCAGGCGGATCATCTGAGGTCTAAAGTTCGAGACCAGCCTGACCAACATGGAGAAACCCCATATCTACTAAAAATACAAAATTAGCCGGGCGTGGTGGTGCATGCCTGTAATCCCAGCTACTCGGGAAGCCTGAGGCAGGAGAATCACCTGAATTCTGGAAGGTGGAGGTTGCAGTGAGCCAAGATCGCTCCATTGCACTCCAGCCTGGGCAACAAGAGCGAAACTCCATCTCAAAAATAAATAAATAAATAAATAAATAAATAAATAAATAAATAAATATAAATAATAATGATAATAATAATAATAAACAACAAACTAGAATCCAGAGTCTCTTGGGCATCTCTGGAGTAAGCCACCACCAGGGGGCAGCACAGCCAGGGCAATGGAGCAGAAGTGACTTCCCCACATTGTATTTTTTTCTTTTTTGTTTTTAGATGGAGTCTCGCTCTGTCGCCCAGGCTGGAGTGCAGTGGCGCGATCTCAGCTCACTGCAAGCTCCGCCTCCCGGGTTCACGCCATTCTCCTGCCTCAGCCTCCTGAGTAGCTGGGACTACAGGCGCCCGCCACCACGCCCGGCTCATTTTTTGTATTTTTAGTAGAGACGGGGTTTCACCGTGTTAGCCAGGATGGTCTCGATCTCCTGAACTCGTGATCCGCCCGCCTTGACCTCCCAAAGTGCTGGGATTACAGGCGTAGTCACCACGCCCAGCCCTGTTGTTATATCATTTTCTATTCTCTGTGCGTATGAAATAATCCACAGGGGGCCAGGCATGGTGGCTCATGCCTGTAATCCCAGCACTTTGGGAGGCCGAGGTGGGCGGATCACCTGAGGTCAGAGGTTCGAGACCAGCCTGGCCAACATGGCAAAACCCTGTCTCTACTAAAAATACAAAAAGTTAGCCCAGTGTGGTTGCTCATGCGTGTAATCCCAGCTACTCGGGAAGCTGAGGCAGTAGAATCGCTTGAACCCGGGAGGTGGAGGTCGCAGTGAGCCGAGATTGTGCCACTGCACTCCAGCCTGGACGACAGAGCAAGACTCTGTCGCAAAAAAAAAAAAAAAGCAAGAAAGAAAGAAAAAAAGAAGGAAAGAGAAAGAAAGAAAGAAAAAGAAAGGGAAAGAAAGAGAAAAACAGAGAAAGGAAGGAAGGAAATGAGGCTAGGCGTGGTGGCTCACACCTGTAATCACAGCACTTTGGGAGGCCGAGGCAGGCGGATCACGAGGTCGGGAGATCGAGACCATCCTGGCTAACACGGTGAAACCCATCTCTACTAAAAATACAAAAAATTATCCGGGCGTGGTGGCGGACGCCTGTAGTCCCAGCTACTCCGGAGGCTGAGGCAGGAGAATGGTGTGAACCCGGGAGGCGGAGCTTGCAGTGAGCTGAGATCGCGCCACTGCACTCCAGCCTGGGCGACAGAGCGAGACTCCGTCTCAAAAAAAAAAAAAAAAGGAAAGAAAAGAAAGAAATGATCCATGGTGAAGAGAAAAGCCGGGGGAACCTCGTGTGCTGCTCCCCCTGGGGACAATGTCTGAGGTCCTCCCCACAAGGTATCCCCATCCTTCTGGTCCCTGCACCATGGATTAATGCAACGTGAATCCCGCTGGCCCCTGTGGGGCAGATGTGAAAAATGGAGCTACACCATGAGCAGGCCTGCAGTCCCAGCACTTCTGGAGGCTGAGGTGGGAGGATCACTTGAGCCCCGGAGGTCGAGGAGGCTGCAGTGAGCTATGATTGCACCGCTGCACTCGAGCCTGGATGAAAGAGCAAGACCCTGTCTGTAATAAAACAAAAACAACACACACAAATCCCCACCTCACAAAAGGCCCTATGGCCCAGATTCTGAGAAGTATTTTATTTTAATTTTTTTGTAGAGATGGGGTCTCGCCGTCTTCCCCAAGCTGGCCTTGAATTCCTGGGTTCAAGAGATGCTCCTATCTGGGTCTCTCAATGTGCCGGGATGGTAGGTGGGAGCCACTGTGCCCGGCCAGCCCTGACTCTGTTCATCAGAACCTGCCCTCAGTGAACAGTTTGGGAGGGGGCGTGTGATCCAGGCTCCACCAACCCAAGGCACCCTTGAGACTTGGCTGGAGTGAGGAAGAATTTTAGGAGGGGCCCACTGAGCCACTGGGTTGAGTGTGGGGTCCCTGGAAACACACCAGGGGAGGCTGGTGAGGAAAGAAGCCATCAGAGAAGAAAGGAGAAGCCAGAAGCAGACACTGGACATTGTTCAGGCACCTGGATCAAGCCACACCTGAAGGCGGACATCCCTGAACTTTCCATATAACTTTCATGATTCAGGCTCCACCCAGTTTGTCTGGGTTTTCCTGTCCCTTGTAGCCAGTCTTCCCAGCTGCCTCTGCCTTGGCCTTTCCAACTTTCTATTCGTCAGGGTGTCAAGCCCCAGAGGCCACAGGGACAGAGACAAAGGTGTCAAGTGACCTTCCTACCCCCAACAGACCTTCTCTCTAATATAGAGGAGGAAAAGAAGGGAGGGTAGCAGGACAAGAAAGTGGGTTGTTTACACGCTGTGGCCTCCAGCTAGGATTGTGAAACACCCTGGGGGACTCTGGGTGTGGTGAAGTTGGGGCCGGGGTGGGTGCAGCCCCCCTCTCTGCCTCCTGCCCATCTGAGGGACTGCCCCCCACCAGGGCCAGCAGGCTGTCAGGCTCACAGAGGCCCGAGGGTCTCCCAGCGACTTGTCGACTCTGGTGTGAGTCTGGCAGGAGGTAACCCAGTCCCGGGGAGGGCGGAGGCTGGGCGGGCGAGTTCCCCTTTCCCCAGCTGGGCCGCTGCCCACCCGGGGAGCGGCCCGCCCCCTCCACCCTCATAAAAGCACCCCCAGGGCCCTGCCTGGGTCAGTGTCTCAGCCACAGCGGCTTCACCATGCACAGCTGGGAGCGCCTGGCAGTTCTGGTCCTCCTAGGAGCGGCCGCCTGCGGTGAGGAGGCCTGGGCCTGGGGTGAGGGACAGGGCTGTGTAGGGGCGTGGTGCTCCCTTCCGTCACACGGACGGTCCTCCAGCCCCTCCAGGTGGGCAGGAAGGGGGTGTCTCTCCTCACTAATGGAAGGCTCTGAACGCTGAAAAATTCTAGAAAATTCAGATTGGAAATCGGAACTTTCTGGAGTCAGCTTTTCTTGCAGACAGAGTCTGAACGTCTGCGTGGAAAACTTCATCTGCGTGGCTGACTGGGCTGGCCCAGGCACTGGCTGGGTCAGCCCCATTTCTCTTATGTCCAACTGGAAGGCACTGCGCCCAGGGTAGGGCGCTGGGATCTGCCCCCGGTCCCCAGCCCACTGTGGGTTCTGTACTCTGGGGCATTCCCGCCCGAGGGTATCTGAGTTTGCAACGCTGAGGGGCCCCAAGACGGAAACGGGATTCTTTTTTTTCTTTCTTTTTTTTTTTGATAGGGAGTCTCGCTCTGTCGTCCAGGCTGGAGTGCAGTGGTGCGATCTCGGCTCACTGCAAACTCCGACTCCCGGGTTCAAGCGATTCTCCTGCCTCAGCCTTCCGAATAGCTGAGATTATAGGCCACGCCGACTAAATTTTGTATTTTTTTTTAAAGTAGAGACGGGGTTTCACCATATTGGCCAGGCTGGTCTTGAACTCCTGACCTCATGATCTGCACCCCCCCCCCCCCCCCGCCCCCGCGCGGCTTCACAAAGTGCTGGGATTACAGGCGTGAGCCACCGCGCCCAGAGATGGGATTCTTGCGGGGAGCGGCCTGGGGGGTGAGAGCTGGGATCCCGTCAGGCAGCCTCGCCCGGGGGAGGAGTCCACCCCGCGGCCCTCACGCGCCCGCCCACCCACAGCGGCGCCGCCCCGTGGTCGGATCCTGGGCGGCAGAGAGGCCGAGGCGCACGCGCGGCCCTACATGGCGTCGGTGCAGCTGAACGGCGCGCACCTGTGCGGCGGCGTCCTGGTGGCGGAGCAGTGGGTGCTGAGCGCGGCGCACTGCCTGGAGGACGCGTGAGTGCCCGCGCCGCGCGGGGGAAGAGCCCGGGTGCGGTGGGGGGAGTCGGCTGGCACCGACCGCGGACTCCGTCCCGTCCCCAGGGCCGACGGGAAGGTGCAGGTTCTCCTGGGCGCGCACTCCCTGTCGCAGCCGGAGCCCTCCAAGCGCCTGTACGACGTGCTCCGCGCAGTGCCCCACCCGGACAGCCAGCCCGACACCATCGACCACGACCTCCTGCTGCTACAGGTCGGCCCCGTGTAGCGCAGTCCCTCCTGCGGCGCTGGGATCCCCGGCCCACCCTCACTCCACCCCGCCTACACCGCGCCCCGGGTCCAGCCTCGAACTCTCCTGCTGCATGGGGACCCCGCCCCACAACCCCCACACCCTCACCCCGGGTGTAGCCTCGACCTCTCTTGCTGCGCTCGGAGCCCCCCCACCCTCTGCACCCTCACCCCGGGTCCAGCCTCGAACTCTCCTGCTGCATGGGGACCCCGCCCCACAACCCCCACACCCTCACCCCGGGTCTAGCCTCGACCTCTCTTGCTGCGCTCGGAGCCCCCCCACCCCCTGCACCCTCACCCCGGGTCCAGCCTCGACCTCTCCTGCTGCATGGGGACCCCGCCCTACAACCCCCGCACCCTCACCCCGGGTCTAGCCTCGACCTCTGCGGCTGCACTGGGAGCCCCCCACCCCCCGCTCCCCCTGCATCCCCATCCCGGTTCCAGCCTCGACCTTTGCAGCTGCACTGGTGAGCCTCGCACCCACCCCATCCCCACCTGCACCCCCACCCAGGGTCTAGCCTAAATCTCTCCTGCTGCACTGAGACCCACGCCCCTGCCCTGATGCCCACCTCCCCCGTCCCGTCTCCCCGAGCCTAGCGGCATTCTCCCCAGCCTCGCACCCCCGCACCCCAACCCTGACGTCCGCCTCCACCCTCAGCTGTCGGAGAAGGCCACACTGGGCCCTGCTGTGCGCCCCCTGCCCTGGCAGCGCGTGGACCGCGACGTGGCACCGGGAACTCTCTGCGACGTGGCCGGCTGGGGCATAGTCAACCACGCGGGCCGCCGCCCGGACAGCCTGCAGCACGTGCTCTTGCCAGTGCTGGACCGCGCCACCTGCAACCGGCGCACGCACCACGACGGCGCCATCACCGAGCGCTTGATGTGCGCGGAGAGCAATCGCCGGGACAGCTGCAAGGTGAGCCTTCAGGCCTGGGAGGAGACGCGGGGCCTGCAGGCCCCGGGAAGGGCCTGCAGAGGGAGCGGGAAGCGGGGGGCAAGTAGGAACAGGGCCCAGGGAAGGGGCGGGGCGCGTAGGGGGCGGGAACTGGAAGATGGGCGGAGCATGAGGGTGGCCCGTGGGCGGGGCCTGTATGAGGGGGCGGGGCATGTGGGTAGGGTGGGGCCTTGGGGGCGAGGCCTGGAGAAGGTACGGGGCCTCTGGAGAGGGTGGGGCTGAAGAAGGGTCAGGGCGGGCAGAAAGGGCAGGAACGGGTGGGATGTGGAAGGACCTGTGGGTTAGGGTGGGAATAGGGGGCGGGGCTCGAGGAGGGGGCGGAGTCCAGTAATAGCGGGACTGCAAGGGGGCGAGGCCAGGAAGAGGGTTGGGACATGAGGGGCAGGGCATGGAGGAAGGGGCGGTACCTGTGGGGAGGGTGGGGCTGGAGAAGGGTCAGGGCGGGCAAAAGGGCAGGTGGCAGAGAAAGGGTGGGAGGTATAGGGGGCGGGCACGTGGAGGAAGGGGCGGGGCATGGGGACGGGGCGGGGCAGGTGGAAGGGGCGGGAACCTCTGAAGGGGCAGGGCTGGTGCGGAGCGGGATCCCTGCTGTGGCAGGGAAGAGAAGGGGTCCTGAGCAGGGCAGAGGTTTAAGACCAGCCGAGGCTTGCATGGTAGCCGGGGCCAAGATTGGGTGGGGCTCTAAGGGAGGGGCGTGGCCTGAGGTGAGTGGGGACTGAGCAGAGCAGGTGGCCACTGAGACGCGTTAGGGCAGAAGTGGGATCCACGGCAAGTCAAAGCTTGGAAGAGCAGGAATGAGGTGTGGGACCCCATACTGGAAAGGGCTTGGAGCGGGGTGGGGTCGGGGGAACACGTGGTGAGGTTGAGGCCAGAGGGGGTGTGGCCAGGAGCTGGGGGCGGGCCTAGAGGGGCGTGGTTTGTGGTTGTGGCCTAGGCGATAGGCGTGGCGCGGGGCTATTGACTAGTGAAGACCAAATTAACACGGGAGGGATGAGCGAGCATTGTGGGGCGGGAGCGGCAGCCAGGTGAGGGGGTCTAACACGTGAGGCCGGGGTGGGCGCGGGCCGCCCCTCACGGCCCCGTCCTGTTCCGGCAGGGTGACTCCGGGGGCCCGCTGGTGTGCGGGGGCGTGCTCGAGGGCGTGGTCACCTCGGGCTCGCGCGTTTGCGGCAACCGCAAGAAGCCCGGGATCTACACCCGCGTGGCGAGCTATGCGGCCTGGATCGACAGCGTCCTGGCCTAGGGTGCCGGGGCCTGAAGGTCAGGGTCACCCAAGCAACAAAGTCCCGAGCAATGAAGTCATCCACTCCTGCATCTGGTTGGTCTTTATTGAGCACCTACTATATGCAGAAGGGGAGGCCGAGGTGGGAGGATCATTGGATCTCAGGAGTTCGAGATCAGCATGGGCCACGTAGCGCGACTCCATCTCTACAAATAAATAAAAAATTAGCTGGGCAATTGGCGGGCATGGAGGTGGGTGCTTGTAGTTCCAGCTACTCAGGAGGCTGAGGTGGGAGGATGACTTGAACGCAGGAGGCTGAGGCTGCAGTGAGTTGTGATTGCACCACTGCCCTCCAGCCTGGGCAACAGAGTGAAACCTTGTCTCTCTCTACAAAAAAAAAAAAAAAATTCTGCGTGGTGGCTCACGCCTGTAATCCCAGCACTTTGGGAGGCCGAGGCGGGCGGATCATTTGAGGTCAGGAGTTCCTGATCAGCCTGACCAACATGGTGAAACCCCGTGTCTACTAAAAATACAAAAAAAAATTAGCTGAGCGTGGTGGTGGGCACCTGTAGCCCCAGCTACTCAGGAGGCTGAGGCAGGAGGATAGCTTGAACCCGGGAGGCGGAGGTTGCAGTGAGCTGAGATCGCACCACTGTACTCCGACCTGGGTGACAGAGCGAGACTCTGTCTCAAAACAAAAACAGAAACATTAAAAAAAGAGGAACGCGGGAAGCTACAGATAAAAGCACAAGAACGGAGAATACAGCGAAGTTCCGGGTCCAGCGCTTCCGTGGGGCTGACGCGGCCACACGGCGGCGCCCTTGCCACACACACACACACACACACACACACACACACACACACACACACACACACGCGCGCGCGAAGGCCCGCCAGGCATGGGTGTCCCCTCCTGGTCTGGCTCATACCGTTTCCCTTTGCTTACCAAGGGGAATGTGAGCGTCTTCTGTGTGCAAGGCTGTGGGCTGAGACTCAGGTGCACAGAAACCCTTCGAGGCCGTGTTCCTATGACCCATATCCCATAAGGGGAAACTGAGGCTCACAGGGACTGTGCGACTCTCCTGACCTTACACAGAAGCTCCAGGACACAGCCTGGACTGGAGCCCAGAGCCACGGAGCCTGCCTTCACAAACCACCCTGGGTGCGGCCAGACCCACACCAGGACGACGAGCAGCGGCACCTGCTTGCTGGAGGCCCTGGACCTCAGGTCACCCTTCTTGGCAAGGCCAGGGAGGACACCTGAGGCCCTGTGCCCTTTCTCCCACCTGGTGGAGGGGCAGCCAGGCGCTATCGTAGAAAAAGAGACTGATGGGCCAGGCGCGGTGGCTCATGCCTGTAATCCCAGCACTTTGGGAGGCCGAGGCGGGCAGATCACAAGGTCAGGAGATTGAGACCATCCTGGCCAACACGGTGAAATCCCATCTCCACTAAAAATACAAAAAAATTAGCCGGGCGTGGTGGCGGATGCCTGTAGTCCCAGCTACTTGGGAGGCTGAGGCAGGAGAATAGCTTGAATCCAGGAGGTGAAGCTTGCAGTGAGCCGAGATAGCACCACTGCATTTCAACCTGGGCAACAGAAGGAGACTCCATCTCAAAAAGAAAGAAAAAAAAAAAAAAAGAGAAAAGAAAAAGTGACTGATGGGCCGGGTGCCGGTGGCTCATGCCTGTAATCCCAGCACTTTGGGAGGCCGAGGCGGGCGGATCAGAAGGTCAGGAGATTGAGACCATCCTGGTTAACACGGTGAAACCCCGTCTCTACTAAAAATACAAAAAATTAGCCGGGCGTGGTGGCAGGCACCTGTAGTCCCAGCTGCTCGGGACGCTGAGGCAGAATGGCGTGAACCCGGGAGGTGGAGGTTGCAGTGAGTGGAGATCACACCACTACACTGCAGCCTGGGTGACAGAGCGAGATTCCATCTCAAAAAAAAAAAAAAGACTGATGATCTGAGAGGCAGGTCCGCTGGGAAAAGGGGGGATGGATTGATGAACACTGTGCTTGGGTGTTTTTGGGGCTATGGAACACTCACCTAGGAATCACACTGACGTGCAAGCACGTATTGAGCACTTACTGTGTGCAGAGCCCTGGGCCGGGCACGGTAAGACACATCTAAGCCCCAGCCCTGCTCTTAGGAATTTGGTAAATACTGCACTGCACGGAAGGGGGCCCATTCAGCTGTCTGGTGACCACCACGAAGTTGGAGCTCACTGTGTGAATTTCACGTTTTTGTTTTTGTTGTTTTTGAGACGGAGTCTCTCTCGTCGCCCAGGCTGGAGTGCAATGGCACGATCTCGGCTCACTGCAACCTCTGCCTGATGGTTCAAGCGATTCTCCTGCCTCAGCCTCCCGAGTAGCTGGGATTACAGGCATGCGCCACCACGCCCGGCTAATTTTGCATTTTTAGTAGAGACGGGGTTTCTCCATGTTGGTCAGGCTGGTCTCGAACTTCCGACCTCAGGTGATCCGCCCCCCCTCGGCCTCCCAAAGTGCTGGAGTTACAGGCATGAGCCACCTCGCCTGGCCACCCAGCTAATTTTTAAGATTTTTGTAGAGATGAGGTCTCGCCATGTTGCCCCAGGTTGGTCTTGAACTCCCAGGCTCAAGTGATCCTCCTGCCTGGGTCTCTTATGGTGCTGGCGCGTGAGCTGCTGCATCCGGCCTGCCTGGGCATCTTTGCATCCTTTGGTCCGCAGGAGCTACGGAGGGTTCCGGAGGAGGAGACGGTTTAGGAGGCGGTGGAACAGGAGTGGTGGGGAGGATGCAGGACGGGAACATCTGGGCACCACATAGTCCTCTGAGTTGAGACGCGGTCCAGTCTCCGCACTGCCATATATATGGCCTCTGTTTCCTCATCTGTATCTCGGGGCCCCAACGTCCCTGGCTCTTAGGGAGATTTTGAGGACCCCTGGGGGAACCGCGAGGCGACGAGGACCTTGGGAAGCCGGGGGCAGGGACAGCAGAGCTTCAGGGCCACAGGCCGCCTCTCAGCACCCCCATGCCCTGCCTGCCTCGCCCACCCCACTGTACCTGAGTGAGGTAGAAGCTCATGGCAGCCAGCTTGTGACAGTGGTCTGACAGACCCCCCCCCCCCACCTAGTGACGCAAAGCCCACCCCGGCTGAAGTGGTCAGGAACTGATGGGACCAGGGGGCATCCTGTCCCCACTCCACGCGTCCAGACCTCAGCCAGGTCACCAGAACCACGGGGGGCTGGGGTCAGCTAGAGGCATTTTCACTTCTGAGTCGGGCACTGGGTGACTCTGATCTCCCGGCCCCTGAAGCTGCCCACGAGCCTGCGTCCCACAACGCATGGGCACCCTCACCAGCGCTCCCATCTCCTCCCCGTCCACCCATCGCGGGCCCGCACCCCTCGCCAGCGCTCCCATCTCCTCCCCGTCCGCCCGCCACGGGCCTGCACCCCTCGCCAGCGCTCCCATCTCCTCCCTGTCCACCCACCGCAGGCCCGCACCCCTCACCAGCGCTCCCATCTCCTCCCCGTCCGCCCGCCACGGGCCTGCACCCCTCGCCAGCGCTCCCATCTCCTCCCCGTCCGCCCGCCACGGGCCTGCACCCCTCGCCAGCGCTCCCATCTCCTCCCTGTCCACCCACCGCAGGCCCGCACCCCTCACCAGCGCTCCCATCTCCTCCCCGTCCGCCCGCCACGGGCCTGCACCCCTCGCCAGCGCTCCCATGTCCTCCCCGTCCACCCGCCGCGGGCCTGCACCCCTCGCCAGCGCTCCCATCTCCTCCCTGTCCACCCACCGCAGGCCCGCACCCCTCGCCAGCGCTCCCATGTCCTCCCCGTCCACCCGCCGCAGGCCCGCACCCCTCGCCAGCGCTCCCATCTCCTCTCCGTCCACCCACTGCGGGCCCGCACCCCTCGCCAGCGCTCCCATGTCCTCCCCGTCCGCCCGCCACGGGCCTGCACCCCTCGCCAGCGCTCCCATGTCCTCCCCGTCCACCCGCCGCGGGCCCACACCCCTCACCAGCGCTCCCATCTCCTCTCCGTCCGCCCACTGCGGGCCCGCACCCCTCGCCAGCGCTCCCATCTCCTCTCCGTCCACCCACTGCGGGCCCGCACCCTCGCCAGCGCTCCTGCACTCTGGTCTCTGCAGAGCCACATGGAAACGCCGCAGACACCCGGACAAAAGCCACCCCCGTGGCGGCTGGGCCCCCAACCACCCGCCAGGGCCCACTGTGTTCTGTCTGTCACTTGCTTTGGACACCCCTGGCATCCACAAGGCGCCCCACACATGCTGAGTGACTGGGGGAGATGGAGGCCCACACACTCCTGAGCTCGAGAGGAGGTCGCAGGAGTGGGGCCGGGAGCTGCCCTAGGGTCTGTCCCTCAGAGGATGGCCAGGGGGACGGTGAGACGGGGCTCGGTGTCCCAGCAGAGCTTGGAGTCTGCGGCCGAGGACGGGGGCCTTAAAGTGGGGGGGCCTTAAAGTGGGAGTGCCTCAGCCAGGTGACGGGGTGCCTGAGCTCCCGCCTCGCGAGCCGGCACTGGGCACTCACCCCACCCTCGCTGCCCTCCCCAGAGCTGCAGAAAGGAGGAGTCCGTCGGCACACAGCAGGGGCACCACTGTGCTGGGAAGGCCTGCTGGAGACGGAAGGCGGGACCCCTGGGGACAGCAACAGAAACGGCAGAAACTTGGCCCAGGGGCTAAGCAACCTCCAGCAGAGAGCAGCTGGAGAAACATAACAGGGACAGAGTCAGGCAGAGACACAGAAACAGCATGCAGAGACACAGAGACCATACACAGAGAAGTGCAGAGATACCAGAGACACGCAGAAACAAGGAGAGCACGCAGAGACAGTATAGAGACAGGCAGACAACACACTGAAAGGCAGATGCCTGGACAGAAGCCACCCTGACGATGGCCGCCCCATCCCATCCACCGGCCTGCTGTGTCCTGTCCCCACTGCTCACTTTGGATACCCCCAGACTCGGCATCCACTAGGTGCCCCATAAATGCTGAAGAATTTAAAGACAGGCCAAGAGGACACAGGCTCCCGGCACCAAATCGAGGTCGTGGGTGGGGTCGGGGGCACCGACGGCAGGGACGCGGGCCTGGGCGCAGAGGGCGTTTATTGGACCTGTCCTTCCCAGCCGCTGCTTGTCCAGGTTCAGCGCTCTCCGTGGGTGAGGCAAGGAAACCGAGGAGACGCCCGAGCCGGGTCACCACAAGGTCCGCCTGGACCCCCGGCCGTCACGGACGGTCCTTTGGATGCAGATGGTCCAGGGATCTGGGGGTCCTGGGAGAGTGGTGTGTGGACTGCGGGCCCAGCTGGACAAAGGCAGGGGCTTCCTCAGAAGCTCTGCTGGTCACGCAGGCGTCCGGCCCACGGCCTTCAACAGCCCTGCAGGGCGGGCTGAGGTTAACCGCGCCGAGGAGAGTCCAGGGCGAGCGGTGGCTCTTGCAGCAGCCGGGCTCAGGAGCAGCTGAGGGGTAGCTGAGGAGTAGCTGAGGGGCAGCTGGGCTCAGGGGTAGCTGAGGGGCACCCGCCACCAGAGCCCACCGCACAGGCAATTCTTGATCCAGCGCTGCTCCCACTGCTTCACCGCCGTGGTTCTGTTGGGCGACTTGAGCATGGTGACACAGCCGCACCTGCGGGGAGGCAGGCACTGAGCGGGTTCCCACTTCCAGGCGGGCCTCCCTCACGCCTGCCCCACTTTTGCTTCCAGGCAGGTCTCCCTCTGCTCGCCGTCCCTCACGCCTGCTCCCCACGTCCCCACCTGCCACAGGGCCTCTGCCCATGCTTCTCCTCCCCCCAGCAATGCTGCTCCCTGAACTAGCCCCGCCACACCAAGTTAACTGCTCCACATCCTGGGATCCTGGCTCCAACACTCCCTCTGGGACGTGCTCCCTCCACCACCCTTGACCGTCTGGAGCGCTGGGTGGGGGCTAGAATCAGCTGAGCCATCCCCAGCGGCACATCTCTGGGAGTCAGCGGTTCCGGGGGCCCCTCACCTGGTGCAGGCCTTGCATTCCTCCGTGGGGCAAGCGCCAAGGTGCAGCCTCCGCAGGTGGTCGATCTTGGGCTGGCCTGGGGCCCTGGCGGGAGAGGGGAGAACGTGAGGGAGGCCTGGGCACCACGAGGCCAGGTTCCGGCAGGGGCATCTGTCCACAGGCGGGGGTGGAGGGGATGGCCGGCCTCACACCATCTGCCAGGTGGGCCCAGATGTCTGTGAACAGTGAGGTGGGAGGTGCGGGACCACCTGAGACAGGCCCAGTAAAGGGGGCGGGACCCCCCACACGGAGGAGGGTTGGTCTCCCAGGTGCCTGGGGAGCTTGAGGCTTAGAGACCCAGTAAAGGGGACGGGGCCCACACAGGGACGAGGGTCGGTCCGCCACGTGCCCGGGGAGCCTGAGGTGCAGGGAAGGTGCTTGTGACGCTCCCATTTGAGGCTGGACAGAAGCAGGTACATGGGGACTTCCACACCACCTCTGCCCAGACACCCGGCCTGGAGGTGCCGGGACCTCTGAACGACAAGATTCTGGTGGCAAAAGCTGCCCTCGGTGGTGGGTGGGGGACCTGGGTCTGGGTGGGGGTGGGCCGGCTTATTCTGCTCTCATTAAATATCTGAAATTTTCCCAGTTTACGAGCCTCTGACGTAACCGTCCTCTCTTTCCATCAAGTCTTTTCCTGAAACCCAAACCCTCGTGTGTGACTCATTAGGAGGCCCCTCCCACAGTGAGCACGAGGAAGAAAATGCTGGAGGTCCTAGAGCCAAGCCAGGGCGCCTTCCCGGAGGTCCCGGAGCCAAGCCGGGGGTGCCTTCCCTGGAGGTCCTGGAGCCGAGCCGGGGCCTTCCCCGGAGCAGGGCTGCTGGAGGTTCACTTCATTTTCTTCCTTTTGCTCATCTGTGTTTTCTAAAATTCCAGCCCTGAGCAATCAGTGGCTCAGAGGGTTTGCATGTGCTCCTTGTCAAACGTGTGTCTGAAACAGGCTGGGGGTCTGACGGGCCTGGGTTCAAATCCTGACTCGGCCACTTCCTGACCGCGTGACCCCAGATGAGTGGGGTGACAAGGTCCCACCCTTTCCAGGCTGGGTTTCCTCACCGTGAAATGGGGTGACAAGGTCCCACCTCACAGGGCTGCTGGGCAGCCAGGGTCAGCTCAGCACACTTGGGTTGCCCAAACCCCGCACATTCCAGAGAAAGGCCAGCCCCGGGCCCTGCAAGGTGACCTCTTGCCCCCGGGAGATCCTCCTGATGAGGTGTCTGCTCAGCAGGGCCCTGGGCCATATGCTAAGGCGTCTCTCTCCATCCACAGAGGGATCTACGGCGAGGCCTGACATCCAGGGGGGCCAGAGACTAAGGGCAGAGGCTAAGGCAGGGCGCCCTGTACAGCGAGGCCAACACACAATCAGGAAACACCAAGGCAAGGCCGGGGCGGTGGCTCACACCTGTAATCCCAGCACTTTGGGAGGGCGAGGCAGGTGGATCACCTGAGGTCAGGAGTTCAAGACCAGCCTGGCCAACATTGCAAAACCGCCTCTATACCAAAAATACAAAAAATACCTAGGTGTGGTGGCTCATGCCTGTAATCCCAGCTACTGGGAAGGCTGAGGTAGGAGAATCATTTGAACCCGAGAGGCAGACGTTGCAGTGGGCCAAGACAGCACTACTGCACTCCAGCCTGGGCAACAGAGTGAGACCCTGTCGGGGAGACAAAAAAAAAAAAAAAAAGGGAGAGGGTGAATGGAAGGGCTGGGTGCCCGTGTTGGGGGTGGTTCGTGACACAGCAGAAGACACCACTAGGGGATGGAGTTAGGGGCACCTAGAAGGAAGCAGCAGTCATGGCCATGACTGGAGAACATGGAGGGAAGGAGCCGTATGGATTCGGGGGGGTCCTGGGGCAGGACATGGAGGGAGGGAGCCGTGTGGATTCGGGGGGACCCGGGGCAGGACATGGAGGGAGGGAGCCGTGTGGATTCGGGGGGTCCCGGGGCAGGACATGGAGGGAGGGAGCCGTGTGGATTCGGGGGGTCCCGGGCAGGACATGGAGGCGGGGAGCCGTGTGGATTCGGGGGGACCTGGGGCAGGACATGGAGGGAGGGAGCCGTGTGGATTCGGGGGTCCCGGGGCAGGACACGGAGGAAGGAGTCCTGTGTTTGGGGACCAATGCAGGGACACACGCACCTGGCGAGGCCGTCGAGCTGCAGGGTGGCAGCACTGCCAGGCAGCGTGGGCGCCCGGCCAAACTGCAGACGAAGGGGCTGCTTGGGCTGCAGGCGGCTGACCAGGCCGTCGCTGGCTGGCAGCCAGTCCAGGCTGGGGATAAGCAGCTGGCTGGGCAGCAGGCAGCATTCATCCACCAGCGCCTCGTCCGGCTCGCTCGCTGGGCCCTCATCGCGACCTGCGGAGAGAGGTGGCGGAAGTCTCAGCACCCCTGACTGGGGCACCGCCCGGCCACCCGGGACGTGCTGGGAGCCCCTCCAGTTCAGGAGCACCAGGTCAGGGCCCCAGCTCTGTCTGCCTGGCTGGGTGACCCCGGGGTTCTCTCACCAGGTCGGGGCCCCGGCTCTGCCTGCCTGGCTGGGTGACCCCAGGGTTCTCTCCCCGTCTCTGGCCTGTCATGAGACTCCCTCATTCACTTAAAAAGTATGTGGGAAGCACTGTGCCTTTTCCAGACACTGGGATGTAAGAATGACACAGCTCACCCTCCTCACATACACACAACCCGACAAGGAGAGACAGCAAACAGGTGCCTGGAAGTGGCTGCCATCCCAAAAGCACCCACACAGAGCATGGACCTGTGCTAGGAACTGGGGAAATAGCAGATATCAAGGCAGAGCCACTGCCACCTGCAGGGGCTTATGTTCTGGCAGGGGGCTCAGGCAGGACTTGTGTTTTGGTAGGGAGAGGGGAGCGGGGAGAGGGGAGAGGGGGGAGCGGGGAGAGGGGAGAGGGGAGAGCGGGGAGAAAGGAGAGCGGGGAGAGGGGAGAGCGGGGAGAGGGGAGAGGGGAGAGCGGGGAGCGGGGAGAGGGGAGAGCGGGGAGCGGGGAGAGGGGAGAGCGGGGAGCGGGGAGAGGGGAGAGGGGAGAGGGGAGAGCGGGGAGCGGGGAGAGGGGAGAGCGGGGAGCGGGGAGAGGGGAGAGAGGGGAGAGAGGGGAGCGGGGAGAGGGGAGAGAGGGGAGCGGGGAGAGGGGAGAGAGGGGAGCGGAGAGAGGGGAGAGAGGGGAGAGAGGGGAGAGGGGAGACGGGAGAGAGGGGAGACGGGAGAGAGGGGAGAGAGGGGAGAGAGGGGAGAGAGGGGAGAGAGGGGAGAGAGGGGAGAGAGGGGAGCGGGGAGAGAGGGGAGCGGGGAGAGAGGGGAGCGGGGAGAGAGGGGAGCGGGGAGAGAGGGGAGCGGGGAAGAGAGGGGAGCGGGGAGAGAGGGGAGCGGGGAGGGGCGGGGAGAGGGGAGCGGGGAGGGGCGGGGAGAGGGGAGAGCGGGGAGAGGGGAGAGCGGGGAGAGGGGAGAGGGGAGAGAGGGGAGCGGGGAGAGAGGGGAGCGGGGAGAGAGGGGAGCGGGGAGAGAGGGGAGCGGGGAGGGGCGGGCGGGGGTGCCTCACAGCAGATCCAGAGCTTGGTGAGCAGGCGGAAGAGCAGGGACATGCTGTCCTGGGTATCCGAAGTGGCCGTATACACGGGCAGGCAGCTGGGCTTCAGAAGGCCCCAGATGCGGATGACCACCATCAATTCCCGAAGCATGCCCAGCGAGGTGCCGTCCCGCAGAAAGCTGTGGCCCGGCCTCAGCAGGGAACCCTGCCCGAAAGAGGCATCGGTGTGGCTGGGGCGGCGGGGGGCAGATGGCGATGGGATGAAGTGTCTTGGGGTCGGTGGAACCCCGACCGGGGGGCAATGGGCAGGGTCTGGGACATTTGTGGTGGTCAGGACTGGGGTGCTTCTGGCACCGAGTGGGTGGATGCCGGGGACGCTGCTCAGAGCCCTGCAGGGCCCAGGACAGCCCCATTTGCAGAGTCGTCCCATCCCTGAGAGTCCACAAGACTAAGACGAGGCTCTGGCTGAGGCCAATATCCCCACCTGCACGTGGAGGAGCAGCCGCCCCCTCCTACAGCTGCGGGCCCGGGCCCCTGGTGACTGTACTGGGAGCTGAGAGGACCAGGGAAGGGAGGCCCCAGGGGTGGCCCCTGGCAGCCTAAAGCCCCACAAAAAGAAGAGAGGGACTTCAAACCGTCCGTGATGGGCGCGGTGGAGAAGGGCGGGCCCCAGGGCAGGATGAAGCCGGGTGGGTGGGGCAGAAGAAATCACAGCTGGGGCAGGACAGAGTGTACCGGCGGGGGGGTGGGGGCGAGGTTGGAGCCCTGGTCAGGGGCGCACAAGCCGCAGAACTGAAGGTGGAGGTGTGGATGGAGACTTGATTTCAAGGCCGCCCACCCCAGGCGCAGGGAGCTGGGGAGGGTAAGGGGTGGGGGCAGCAGCAGCAGGAGCAAGGCGAACCGGCCTTCGTGTAGGGGTGGGGCTGAGAAGGAGCAGGGCCTGGGAGGCGGGGCTTTGAGAATAGGCAGGAAGGGTGTGGCCAAGGAAAGGCTTCTTACAGCAGAGGCTTCATGGAGAGGAGGGCTCCGAGGTGGGGGAGGGCTCCGAGGGAGGGGAGGGCTCCGAGGTGGGGGAGGGCTCCGAGGTGGGGGAGGGCTCCGAGGTGGGGGAGGGCTCCGAGGGAGGGGAGGGCTCCGAGGTGGGGGAGGGCTCCGAGGTGGGGCAGGGCTCCGAGGTGGGGGAGGGCTCCGAGGTGGGGCAGGGCTAGGAAGTGGGGCAGGGCTAGGAAGTGGGGCAGGGCTAGGAAGTGGGGGTTTAAGAAGAGACAGACTCAGGAAGTGGGACTCCAAGTAGGGGTGGGACTCCAAGCAGGGGCGGGGCTGAGGTGGGACTCCAAGCAGGGGCGGGACTCCAAGTAGGGGCGGGACTCCAAGTAGGGGCGGGGCTGAGGTGGTTTTGAGGGGCAGGGGCAGGGAAGCGGGGTCCTGATGAGATGGGGGCCCAGGTGGGGGGCGGGGCCTTAGGGGAGAGCATGGCGCACCTGGTTGGGTAGGCTGGCCAGCAGGTACAGCACGAAGTCGCCCACCCACTGCAAGAGCTGCTGCAGCGCCTGCAGTGTGTTCATGTCCAGCACAAATTCCTCCGTCTTGAGGTTGATCATGACCTTGTCAATGTCTACAAGGAGACGTGGGTCGGGTCAGCTCGGGCCTCTTGTACACACAGGGTGACCTAACTGCACCCCTCGGTCCTTCGACCTGCACTGAGTGCCCACCCAGTACCAGGACACAAGGGGACCCACACCGGGAACGAGAAGGGGGCGATGGCGTTGCCGGACAGAGAGGAACTGGGAGCCCACTGCCTGCCCCCCCCCGGGGGCCGCTGTGCTCAGCACCAACCAGCTTCTCTCGGCCTGCAGGCCTTGGCGTGGGCAGGTCCCCATGCCAGGGCCACCAGTGCTCAGGCCCGGCCTGCTGGTGCACATCTGCCCCCTGCTCCGAGGTGAACTCTGTGAACACAGGGGCATGTCCACAGCGTGCAGCTGCAGCCACCCCCGGCTGGCAGCTGGCGGCGGTTACACACCCAACAGATGCCTCTCGGATGGTGACTAGGGTGGTCCCACAGAACTAACCATGACTGTGCACACGGCTCCCAGCTACCAGGAGTGCCACGTGTCCACACTCAACCGGGTACTCCAGACAAACGATAACCCTAAATTTTTTTTTTGAGACAGAGTCTCACTCTGTCGCCCAGGCTGGAGTGCAGTGGGGTGATCTCAGCTCACTGCAAGCTCCGCCTCCCGGGTTCACGCCATTCTCCTGCCTCAGCCTCCCGAGTAGCTGGGACTACAGGCGCCCGCCACCACGCCCGGCTGATTTTTGTATTTTTAGTAGAGACGGGGTTTCACCGTGTTAGCCAGGATGATCTCGATCTCCTGACCTCGTGATCAGCCCGCGTTGGCCTCCCAAAGTGCTGGGATTACACACGAGTCGCCACGCCCAGCAACCCTAATTTTTAAAAGAAACAGCCTGCCAGGCACAGTGGCTCACGCCTGTAATCCCAGCGCTTTGGGAGGCAGAGGCGAGTAGGACACCACGTGCTGGGTGAGCCTGGGCAAGCTGCTTAGCCTTTCTGCCTCAGTCCCCTTACGGCAAAACGGAAGGAGGAGCAGACCTGCCTGCACAGGACCCGGGTGCCGGGTGTCGGCCTGGGAGCGTCTCAGCCCCCAGGAGTAGAGAGAGGTGAAAGGATCACTTGAGCTCAGGTGGTCAAGACCAGCCTGGGCAACACAGTGAGACCCTGTTGCTACAAAAAATTAAAAACCGGGTGTGGTGGCACGTGTCTGTAATCCCAGCTACTCCAGAGGCTGAGGCGAGATTGCTTGAGCCCAGAAGGCAGAGGCTGCGCTGAGCTGGGACTGCGTCACCGTGCTGCAACCTGGATGACACAGTGAGACCGTCTCTAAAAGCCTGGGTGTGGTGTAATCCCAGCCTTTAGGCTATATCCCAGCACTTTAGGAGGCCGAGGCGGGCGGATCATTTGAGGTCAAGAGTTCGAGACCAGCCTGGCCAACATGGTGAAACCCCGTCTCTACTAAAAATACAAAAAATCAGCCGGGCGTGGTGGCACGTGCCTGTAATCCCAGCTACTTGGGAGGCTGAGGCAGGAGAATCACTTGAACCAGAGAGGCGGAGGCTGCAGTGAGCTGAGATCGCACCACTGCACTCCAGCCTGGGCAACAGAGTAAGACCCTATCTCAAAAGAGTAAAAAAAATAAATAAAAATAAAATAAATAGATGAAAGAAACCTCGAGGCCCCGGGCGTGGAAAAGGACCCACCGACGTCGGTGATCTTGGTGCAGATCTCGGTCAGCCGGTCGCCGGGGCTCTTGTCAGGCGTGTTGAGAAAGTGGGGGCGCAGCAGCGACTTCAGGGTGGAGCTGATGGCGATGAGGAAGAGCTTGGTGTGGTAGTCGCACACGCGAGTCACCGTGCAGGGCGACAGCTTGCAGAGCGAGGCCTTCATGGCCAGGATCCGGGTGGAGAGGACCTGAGGGCAGGAAGCCAGGTCACCCCAAGGGGCCGGAGCAGAGGCGCCCGCCAAGGCTCCAGCTGAGGAGAAGAGCAGTTCGACTCTGACACCAGGCGCTCGGTCAGCTGGGCAAGCTGCTTCGCCTCTGCACCTCAGCAACCTCATGGCAAAACAGGTGCGGAAGACCAGGCGCACAGGACCAGGTGCTGGGTTCTCAGCTGGGAGCGGCTCTGCCTCTGGTGGGGGCCCCTGGTGATGTCTGGAGATATTTTTAGTTGTCACCACTGGGGGTGCCCCTGCCAAGTAACGGGTGGAGGCTGGGGAGGCTGCTCAACAGGACACCCCCATCCCAGAGGCTGCTCCAGCCCCCGATGTCTGTGGTGCCTACGGGGAGACCCTGGTCTAGAGAGAATGAATGAATGAGCTGAAGCATTTTGGGAGGCTGAGGCTGGAGGATTCCTGGAGACTGGGAGTTGGAGAGCCTGTGCAACGTAGGACACCCCATCTCTACAAAAAATAGAAACAACTAAAAACAAAAATGAAACGCTTGGCACACAGCGACGGCCCAAGGAGGGAGAGGGCGAGGTCTCGCCATCACTAGCGCTGTCACTGGCTACGGATCCCAGCCACGCTGGGGTTTAGCCTCGCAGCCCCCGCCTGGGTCTCACGCGTTTCTCGGCAGGCTGTGCCGTGAATGGGATTTTTTTTTTCCCATTTTATCTTCGTATTGGTTTCTGATGGCACAGAGGAAAACAAGTGAAGCTCAGAGGGCTGGTCCCACGTGCAGCTGCCGGCTGAGCTCGTTAGATCTGAGGTCCTTCGAGGACACTCTGGGATTGCAGGCACATAACCACACCACTGCAAGGGACCCTTCTGGCACGTGGGCCTCCGTATCCGCTCCCTCCTCTCCTTCCGACGGGCGGGTCTCTGTGTGTTCATCTTCTGACCGTGTTTGCTGAGGCCTCACACCACAGGGCCACCGGGTGTGCATCCTGGTACCCATCACATTCTGAGAGGATGGCTTAGAAAGATACCTCCAGACTGGGAACACTGGAGAGGGGAGCCGTCCAGGGGGGATCAGGCCTTACCTGTGGGGCTTAACGTGTTACAGAAGAAACTTCCCAGGTAAGGAAGGAAACTGCTTCTCTGAGGTGCAGCTTTCCTGGACGGGCCTCTGGGAGCACACCCCACACGCAGCCTCACCTGCCACAGGCTACCTGCCCCTCTTGCCCTCCGCCTGCCATAGAGCCCCCAACCTGCCGCAGGGAAACCCCTCCAGCTGCCACAACCCCCACATCTGCCGTGGGGACCTCTACAACTGCTGCAGAGACCTCCTCCACCCTCCAAGGGAACTCCCTCCCTGCTGCTGGCACTTTACTGACCACGGGGCCCCTGCCTGCCACAGGGACAGCCCCACCTGGCACGGGACCACCTGCCACGGGGCCCCCACCTGCCACGGGGCCCCACCTGCCATGGGGCCCCCACCTGCCACAGGGCCCCCACCTGCCACGGGGCCCCACCTGCCACGGGCCCCCACCTGCTGCAGGGCAGCGGTCTGGCGCGTGTACTCCTCGTGCAGCTTCTCCACCAGGCTCTGTACCATACTGGGCTGCACGTGCAGCAGGATGTCCCACCAGTCGTAGCCGGTCACCATGCAGTACTCCAGCAGGAAGAGCAGGTGCCGCAGCGCCAGCCCCACCTCCAGCGGGTGGCCCATGGAAGGTGAGAGGCGGAGCACGCTCAGCTGCCAGAGACAGAGCCCAAGGAGAGCCCGGTGAGATGGGGCTGCGCCCTCAGCCGGGAGAGGAATGGGGCCCTGGGGCTGCGGCACGTGTGTGGATCTGTGTGCGCGCACGCCCCTGTGTGTGGGCCTGTGTGCGCGCATGTGTCTGTAGCGTCTGTACCTTTCTGTCAGGGTCATGCACAATGCCTCTGGGAACAGGGAAGGAAACCTCCCTGAGCCCCGACTGCACTGGATGCCGAGCCAGGCTTACACTCGTCTCCTTTACCTGAGGAGTCTACCCCGTGAAAGGCGGTCCTCTCAACAGCTCCTAGTTATGAAGCTCCTAATACGTGCTGTGGGCCACCCCACTGACCTCGCTCAACAAGACGAACCCATCACACAGACAAGGCAGCGCAGGCAGGGGCTGGCGAGGGGCTGGCGAGGGGCTGGCGAGGGGCTGGCGAGGGGCTGGCGAGGGGCTTGCACCTGTGGTCCCTTCCCCCGGGGGCGCCTCCCTCTGGCACCCTCCCAGCCCCAGCCCCAGCCCCAGACCCACGTGCCCCAGCAGCTCGCCTTCCCCTGGTTGTCAATGCCCACCAGCCCCAGCCCCACGTGCCCCAGCAGCTCGCCTTCCCCTGGCTGTCAATGCCCCCCAGCCCCAGCCCCACGTGCCCCAGCAGCTCGCCTTCCCCTGGCTGTCAATGCCCCCCAGCCCCAGCCCCACGTGCCCCAGCAGCTCACCTTTCCCTGGTTGTCAATGCTCAGCAGCTCACCTTCCTGTGGTTGTCAATGCCCACCAAGCCCAGCCCCACGTGCCCCAGCAGCTCGCCTTCCCCTGGTTGTCAATGCTCAGCAGCTCACCTTCCCGTGGTTGTCAATGCCCACCAAGCCCAGCCCCACGTGCCCCAGCAGCTCGCCTTCCCCTGGTTGTCAATGCCCACCAGCCCCTGCCCCACGTGCCCCAGCAGCTCACCTTCCCCTGGTTGTCAATGCCCACCAGCCCCAGCCCCAGCCCCAGCCCCACGTGCCCCAGCAGCTCGCCTTCCCGTGCTTGTCAATGCCCACCAAGCCCAGCCCCACATGCCCCAGCAGCTCGCCTTCCCCTGGTAGTCAATTCCCACCAGCTCCAGTCCCAGCCCCAGCCCCACGTGCCCCAGCAGCTCACCTTCCCGTGGTTGTCAATGCCCACCAGCCCCAGCCCCAGCCCCAGCCCCACGTGCCCCAGCAGCTCACCTTTCCGTGGTTGTCAACGCCCACCAGCCCCAGCCCCAGCCCCAGCCCCACGTGCCCCAGCAGCTCGCCTTCCCCTGGTTGTCAATGCCCACCAGCCCCAGCCCCAGCGCCACGTGCCCCAGCAACTCACCTTCCCCTGGTTGTCAATGCTCAGCAGCTCACCTTCCCATGGTTGTCAATGCCCACCAAGCCCAGCCCCACGTGCCCCAGCAGCTCACCTTCCCCTGGTTGTCAATGCCCACCAGCCCCAGCCGCACATGCCCCAGCAGCTCGCCTTCCTCTGGTTGTCAATGCCCAGCAGCTCACCTTCCCATGGTTGTCAATGCCCACCAAGCCCAGCCCCACGTGCCCCAGCAGCTCACCTTCCCCTGGTTGTCAATGCCCACCAGCCCCAGCCCCACGTGCCCCAGCAGCTCGCCTTCCCGTGGTTGTCAATGCCCACCAGCCCCAGCCCCACGTGCCCCAACAGCTCACCTTCCCCTGGTTGCCAATGCCCACCAAGCCCAGCCCCACATGCCCCAGCAGCTCACCTTCCCCTGGTTGTCAATGCCCACCAGCCCCAGCCCCACGTGCCCCAGCAGCTCACCTTCCCGTGGTTGTCAATGTCCACCAAGCCCAGCCCCACGTGCCCCAGCAGCTCACCTTCCCCTGGTTGTCAATGCCCACCAGCCCCAGCCCCACGTGCCCCAGCAGCTCACCTTCCCCTGGCTGTCAATCCCCACCAGGGCCAGCCCCACGTGCCCCAGCAGCTCACCTTCCCGTGGTTGTCAATGCCCACCAAGCCCAGCCCCACGTGCCCCAGCAGCTCACCTTCCCCTGGCTGTCAATCCCCACCAGCCCCAGCCCCACGTGCCCCAGCAGCTCACCTTCCCCTGGTTGTCAATGCCCACCAGCCCCAGCCCCACGTGCCCCAGCAGCTCACCTTTCCCTGGTTGTCAATGTCCACCAGCCCCGGCCCCGGCCCCGGCCCCGGCCCCACGTGCCCCAGCAGCTCACCTTCCCCTGGCTGTCAATGCCCACCAGCCCCAGCCCCACGTGCCCCAGCAGCTCACCTTCCCCTGGTTGTCAATGCCCACCAAGCCCAGCCCCACGTGCCCCAGCAGCTCACCTTCCCCTGGTTGTCAATGCCCACCAGCCCCAGCCCCAGCCCCAGCCCCACGTGCCCCAGCAGCTCACCTTTCCCTGGTTGTCAATGTCCACCAGCCCCGGCCCCGGCCGCAGCTCCACGTGCCCCAGCAGCTCACCTTCCCCTGGCTATCAATGCCCACCAGCCCCAGCCCCAGCCCCACATGTCCCAGCAGCTCACCTTCCCCCGGTTGTCAATGCCCACCAGCCCCAGCCCCACGTGCCCCAGCAGCTCGCCTTCCCCTGGTTGTCAATACCCACCAGCCCCAGCCCCAGCCCCAGCCCCACGTGCCCCAGCAGCTCGCCTTCCCCTGGTTGTCAATGCCCAGCAGCTCACCTTCCCATGGTTGTCAATGCCCACCAAGCCGAGCCCCACATGCCCCAGCAGCTCGCCTTCCTCTGGTTGTCAATGCCCAGCAGCTCACCTTCCCATGGTTGTCAATGCCCACCAAGCCCAGCCCCACGTGCCCCAGCAGCTCACCTTCCCCTGGTTGTCAATGCCCACCAGCCCCAGCCCCACGTGCCCCAGCAGCTCGCCTTCCCGTGGTTGTCAATGCCCACCAGCCCCAGCCCCACGTGCCCCAACAGCTCACCTTCCCCTGGTTGCCAATGCCCACCAAGCCCAGCCCCACATGCCCCAGCAGCTCACCTTCCCCTGGTTGTCAATGCCTACCAGCCCCAGCCCCACGTGCCCCAGCAGCTCACCTTCCCGTGGTTGTCAATGTCCACCAAGCCCAGCCCCACGTGCCCCAGCAGCTCACCTTCCCCTGGTTGTCAATGCCCACCAGCCCCAGCCCCACGTGCCCCAGCAGCTCACCTTCCCCTGGCTGTCAATCCCCACCAGGGCCAGCCCCACGTGCCCCAGCAGCTCACCTTCCCGTGGTTGTCAATGCCCACCAAGCCCAGCCCCACGTGCCCCAGCAGCTCACCTTCCCCTGGCTGTCAATCCCCACCAGCCCCAGCCCCACGTGCCCCAGCAGCTCACCTTCCCGTGGTTGTCAATGCCCACCAGCCCCGGCCCCACGTGCCCCAGCAGCTCACCTTCCCGTGGCTGTCAATCCCCACCAGGGCCAGTGACGTCCACGATAGCTGCATAGCCTTTAAGTGGACGGCGGGGCCCGCGGTGCGGGGGCGCTTCATGGCCGGCTCATCCACAGGCCTCGGGGCCGCGGAGCTGTAGAAGACGGCCATGGTCTGCAGTGAGAGCCGGTGCACGATGTGGACGCTGCCGTCGTGGAAGGCCAGGGCCAGCCCTGTGGGGCACAGGCACTGCTTAGACATGGGCAGGGCCCAGGACACGCCCGCCGGGGGAGGGGCCTCCTGCTCTGCAGGGTGTGGAGAGCCGGGGCTGCCCATCCAGGGGGTCAGCCCCCGCCAATCGGCATCCAGCGCCCGTGCCCCCAGCCACTCTTTCTTTAGTTACACAGTCCCTGAGCACCAGGGGAGCAGGAGCCAGCAGCCTTGGCCACACTGCTCCCAGCCCCTCCCCGCCCCTCCCAGCTGGGCCCATGTCCTGGCTGACACGCCCCTCAAGGAGCGCAGGGGAGGGGGGCACTACAGGTGGGGGACCAAGGGTTGGGGCTCCTGGCGTCCCAAAGAGAGGCATCTTAGGGTGGTGGGCTGGGGCTGTCACTCACACTGGGGTCTGCCATTGTACGAGGGCCAGGGGGAGGTGGGGTCCAGAGCCCAAAGCTCATGGAAAAGAGGATATGAAAGGAGTCCCTGCAGTAGAGAGGCTGCAAAGCCGGGCGCGGTGGCTCACGCCTGTAATCCTAGCACTTTGGGAGGCTGAGGCGGGCAGATTGCCTGAGCTCAGGGGTTCGAGACCAGCCTGGGCAACACCGGTGAAACCCCGTCTCTACTAAAATACAAAAAATTAGCCGGGCGTGGCAGCACGCGCCTGTAGTCCCAGCTACTCGGGAGGCTGAGGCAGGAAGGAGAATCGCTTGAACCCAGGAGGCGGAGGTTGCAGTGAGCCGAGATCACACCACTGCACTCCAGCCTGGGCAACAGAATGAGACTCCAACTCAAAAAAAAAAAGAAAAAAAAAAATAGAGCCTGGAAAATGGAGCATAAACCAAGGGTTTTGGAGCAGGGAACTGCATCCCCTCAACCTCTCTGCAGGCTCTGAGGAACAGCCCTGAGCCCCGAGCGGGTTTTGATAAATGCTCTTTCCAGGGAACCAGGGAAGAACGGGAGCTGGGGGAAGAAAGGGCCTGAGCTAGGGCCGACTTGTCCACATTTTACAGCTGAGCAAATAGGGTAAGCACTGAAGAGTGTGCAGACTCACTCATGGGCACGGATGCCACGGTTTGAGCTCAGGACCACATTATGGCTGCTGCAGCACAGAGAGGACACATGCCGCCTACCCAGGAAGGAGTTCCACCAAGTTCCCCAGGCTCCCTTGTTGATTTGCAATGACTCTTTACATATTAAAGAACACTGGATCTGTCTGCCAGCCTCACAGATCCCGAAAGATGAGATCTGCCTCCTAATTGGGAACCCATCAGAACCCAGG
>NT_187621.1:0-52969 GCF_000001405.40 Homo sapiens
CCAGCTGCCCCCACTGGGGGTCTGTGGAATGGACGGTCCATGGCACCTGCCCCAGACACTGGGTTGAGAGGTCTGTCTCTCCCAGCCCTCGTCCCCTCTCATCCACATGGGGCCAGCACAGGCAGTGGGCAGAAAGGCCTGGTAACCAGGAGAGCCTGGGGGGATGCCCACACACCCCTGCCCTTCCCTCCCTGTCCCACAGGCTGAGGAGCAGACTCCGTGGGAAGTAGGCAAAAGGCACATATATTTAAAAAAGTCCTTTACATATGTACATCAGAACTTGCTATAAATACATAGAAACCGCAGGCGCCACCCTGCCAGCTCCGCGGCCTGGGGCCTGGGAGAGGTGAGCGGGCAATAACTTAGGGGTCAGGGAAGGGCTGGGGGAGGGAGAATTGCATATATTAGCAGGGGTCTGCCCCACGGAGCCCCCGAGACGCGGGGCCCTGAGCACCTGGGGTTTCCTGAGTTTCTAGCTCTTGGGACCACCCGGTTTCACGGATTTCAAGGGTTTGGGCCCACTGAGCCCTTGTGGGTGCCCAGTCCCAGAGCAGCCACCCGGAGCCCCTTCCTACTTGGGAGGAGAGGCACAGAGAGGGCCCTGCCACGCCCCGGCCCCCAGCTGTCCTGAGTGGGCCCCGCCAGGGCTGACCAGGTGGGGGCCCGGGTCGGGCGCTGAAGGCACTGCGGCCAGGGCCTAGGGCTCCTCTGAGCAGTGGTCAGGGGACCTTGGCCCTGCTCCCCACCGCTGCTCCTAGGGGAGAAACGGTCCCTGTGTCTTGGGGCATGTTTCGCCTAAAGGCGTGTCAGAGAGGAGCCTGGGCGCCGGGGAAGGGTGGGCTGAACTGGATCACGCTCTGCCGCTCGGGACCACCGCCCGCCGCGCCCCCCGCCCCCGCGCCCTCCCCCAGCGCGCCCTCGGAGGGCGGCCCCGCGTGCAGCGAGCGCAGCATGTCCTCCAGCACCTCCTTGAAGTTGATGTCGCAGCCCTGGTGCGCGAGGGCCGCAGGGTCGGCCTGGGCGTCGGGGGTGCCCAGCGGCACGACGCCGGGGCCGGCGTCCAGGGACAGCGGCGCCGGGAAAGAGAAGTGCGGGGGCGGCGGGAAGGCCTCGGCCGGGGGGCTGTAGGTGAGGTCCAGCACCTCTCCGGGGCCGCAAGGCAGCGCCAGCGGGCGCGGGGCGGGCGGGGCGGGGCAGCCCAGGGCGGGCGCCTGCCTGCGCTTCACGTCCGCATCCATCAGCCGCAGCTCCTGCAGCACCCGGCGCACGCAGCCCTCGGGGATCTTGATGCCTGCGGGCAGAGCGTCGGGGTCAGGGCCGGCGCTGGGGGCTCGGGCCTTCCCGGGGCGCCCGCCGCCCACTCACCCACTTGCTTCTTCCTGTCCTTGGTCTTCAGCCGCACGATCTGCAGGTAGCTGCTGCTGCTGACGTCGGCCATGACGGCGGCGATGCGGCCCCACACGCGCAGCAGCGCGCCGCACAGCATGTAGTGGTGCCGCAGCCGCAGCCCCTGCAGGCAGTCCTTACCCTCCTGCGCCAGCCGGCAGTGCCGGTTCCTGCGGACGAGACGGGTCGTCTCGGCTCAGGCGGGTCCCAGGGGCCCGCAGGCTCCCCAGGTGCCCTGAGATCTCCCGCCTCCTCTCAGGGTCTCGGGAGCCCCCGATCCCCGCCTGGGTCGCCGCCATCTGCCGGTTTCCCCCTGGTCCCCGGCCCGCCCTCACCAGGCGCTGTGGCTGCAGTGCGTCAGCGACAAAGCGTAGCCACTCTCCCAGGGCTCCTTGGCCTCCTCCGCGGTGACCTAGGGACACAGGGCCGCATGAGCCTGGGCGGGGTCAGGGCCGGCAACCCGAGCGAAAGCTGCGCCCGGCGGCCGCCTACCCGGTGGAACTTGCGGCGGAGGCTGTCCAGGGCCTCCAGCTGGCTCTGCCGGCCGATGTTGGGCTTGTACACCGTGAAGAACTGGCCGCGGTTCTGCTCCGCCAGCAGGCAGCTGGGCTTGTTACCGCGGACCTGCGGAGGGGGGCGTTGAGGCCGCGCCCCGGTCCGCCCCCCGCGGGCCCTCCTCTGGGGGGGTAACCCCGCCCGACCCCACCTTGTAGGAGAGGTAGAAGCCGTCATAGGGGCCCGTCAGCGCCAGCGACTTGGCAAAGGCGTCCTCCCACTTCAGGCCGCGGTCCACGCTGATCTGCCACGGCACGGGGTGGGGGGGTGTGAGTGTGGTGGGGGCGGGGTGGGCAGAGTGTGAGGGGCTGTGGGGCTTCCTGCTGACCTTGTAGAAGACCACCTGCCCGTCCTGCGGGTGCCCGGGAGCCAGGAACACCTGCTGGCTCTCCTCGTAGATCTCCTCGATACCGGGAGCAAGGTCTAGGGGGGCGGGTGGAGGGTAAGTGGTGTCCAGGCCTGGGACTGTGGGCTGGGGCCAGGGTCAGTCCCGTAGCCGGGGCGCACCCTAGAGACGACCCCCCGAGAGCACAGGAGAGGGTGTCCTGGATCCTGGCCTGACCTGGCCCAGCGTGGGGATGGTGCACGTGGGCCCCAACCTGGCAACCGCTCAGGTCCTAGGTAACCCCGAGCAGGCTGTGGGGGATCGTGGGAGCCTGGGGGCCGCTCAGGTCCTATGTAACCCCGAGCAGGCTGTGGGGGATCGTGGGAGCCTGGGGGCCGCTCAGATCCTAGGTAACCCCAAGCAGGCTGTGAGGAGATTGTAGGAGCCTGGGGGCTGCTCAGGTGCTGGGTGACCCCAAGCAGGCTGTGGGGGATCGTGGGAGCCTGGTTGGCTGCGGCACTGCTCATGAGTGAAGTAGCCATGGCCCGGACCCGACCCTCATCTGGACACAGGGAAGTGGTCCTGATGGACAGGCCTGGCCCCATGAGGCTGGAAGCACAGGCTCGCCGGCCTTTCGTTCACAACAATGTAGCAGGTGCCCCGTGAAGCCTGGGGATGAGCATGGTGGGCAGCGTGCACCAGCCTGGGCACCTTCCAGAGACGTGCACGGTGATCCCACGAGCCCTGTGCCTGCATCCGCCCAGTCTCACCCAGTACCCTCGCTCACCCAGGATGCATGGCGCTTCCACGAGCCCCTTGCCCACCTAGGCCCTCGCCGTGCTCACCCACAATGCACGGTGTTCCCACGAGCCCCGAGCCCACCTGGGATGCCCGGCGTTCCCACGAGCCCCTCGCCCACCCGGGATGCACGGTGTTCCCACGAGCCCCTCGCCCACCCGGGATGCCCGGTGTTCCCACGAGCCCCGAGCCCACCCAGGATGCATGGCGTTCCCACGAGCCCCGCACCCACACCCACCCACACCACACCCCGGCACCTGTGCTCACCCAGGATGCCCATGTCGTATTTGCCCTCCCGCTTGTCCATCTCGATGAGGTGGTCGAAGGTGTCTGAGAAGTACTGGAACAGGGCGTTCTGCTTGTGCACCTCCAGCCCCAGGATGCGGTTCAGGAACTTGGTGATGGAACAGTCTGGTAGGGGAGGGAGCCAAGCCTCAGGCTGCGCTGGGAATCCCTCTCCCTGCTTTGCTCACCACCCGAGGCCAAGGTTGCATGAGATGAGAGACAGGAGCGCCTCTGGGCCTGGGTGTGGGGCACTCACCCTTCTCCACGTCCAGGCAGCCATTCCGGGACTCCCGGCCACCAATGCCCACAGACAGCAGGCCCTGCTTCATGTCTGCGGGGAGAGGGGCCTCACATGCTGGTCTTCCCACCCCTGCCCCTCCCTCGAAGCCCCTAGCTCCTTTTCCAGAGACCAGCAGCTCCCTGGGGGGCTGGGGAGCAGCTGCAGCCTAGGGCCAGGGCCAGGGCCAGGAGCGGAGCCTTTTGCCTGACTTACAGGAGTGAGAACAGCATGTTCTTGGGGAGTAAACCCAAACCCCAGGCCCCTCAGCTGCCCTGGAAACCCACCCGGCAGCTGCTGGGGGCCGCCTTGGCTCCCTTTGCCTTCACAGCCCTCTCTGTCCGTGTGTGGGGAGGGGTCACTCAACACACAACCGGCCTACAAAGCCTGCTGCCCCAGCTGCTCTGGAGCCCAGTGCTCTGCAACCCCTGCCCCTCCCAGGAAGACCCCCACCAGCCCAGCTTACCCCGGAAGAAGGTGGGGACCCCTCCAGGGTATCCCTGGGGCACAGGCACTTTGTTCTCAGTCTGGCTCAGGATGGTGGTGAGGACACAGTGCAGGGCCCGGGTGCCATACTAGGGGGAGAAGGTGACTCGGGGAGGAGGCCCAGGGAGGAGGCTGGCTTTCCCTGGACCCCTGCCTCCCCAGAACCCCACCCTCCCCTAGGCCCCTGGACCCTGCCCTCCCCTAGACTCCTAGACCCCACCTCCCCCAGCTCTCAGCCACCTCCTCCCCGGGGGTCCTAGACTGGGTCCTCCCCCAGACCCCTGGATGCCACCTCCCTGAGCCCCTAGAAGCCCCCTTCCCCCCTGGGGGTCCTAGACCCGGCCCTCCTCCAGACCACTGAGCCCCACGTTCTCCAGCCCCCATCTACCCCCTCCCCCAGGCTCTTAGATCCGGCCCTCCCTAGACCCCTGCCCCTGCCCCGCCCCCCAACCCTGCCTTCCCTGCAGTACCTTGTTCTCAAAGTTGTACTTGCTGAGGTCACGGGACTCCGTGGCGCGGCGGTCTCCGTGGGTCAGGGCCCCCTGCCAGGGGTGGGGAGGCCATCAGTTGGTCACCTGGGGTCTGGCCTCTAGCACCCCACAAAGCTTTGGAGAGCCTTCCTGGGCCTGTCCCTGGTTCTCAGCCCCACCCCCACCTGCTCACCAGACTCTCCAGGCGCTTGGCCACGATGGAGGCGAACCGGCGCTCCCCGGCCAGCTCCGAGATGAGGAAGACATACTCTGGCGCGGAGACCTGGTTGGACCGGTGGGTGCGGCCTGGGGGCAGAGCTGCTCTCAGGGCCCGGCCAGGCGGGGGCGGGGCCGAGACCATGTTGGGGGCGGGGCCAGGCAGCGCTGGGGGCGGGGCCGGACTCACCGAACTGCTGGATGGCGCGGTCGGCGCTCCACGGCAGCTCCAAGGTCATGTGCACGCGGCGCCGCTGGTTCTGGACACGGCGGTCGGCTTGGAGGGAGACACCCGAGCTGGAGGCCTCCGAGATGATGGCCACGAGCTAGGGGGAAAGAAGGGGCCGGGACACGGTTGGTGCAAGGCCCGCCCCAGCGTTGCCGCCACCTCCTCACCCACTAGGCCCCCGCTCCAGGTCACCAGGACGTCCCGGGGCAGCGAGAGGCCTGCGGGGCGCGGACACCACCCGCCACACGGCCACTCGCGCCCGCACCTGGCACACACACACTCCAGAAGTGCGCGGGTCCACAGTCCCCGGGGACCCTTGGGCCCCTCTGTGCCTCTTGGGTCCCGTGGGCCGCGCCCAGTGCACTGCAGCCCCGCACCTTCTCGCCGCTCATGAAGCGCTGCTTCTCCCTGAGGTTCACGTGGTCGATGGACAGACCCTGCTCTGCCCGCGACTCGAAGGCCACCGTCCCGTCGGGCCTGGACACCACGCGGCCTTTCCTGCCGGTCATCTGCAGCCGAGACAGGGACAAAACCGGCCGTCAGTGTTGTGGCCTCGCAGGAGTCTGGCCACCCGTGTCTCAGCTTCCCTATGTCCTACAGTGGTCATGGGCTCCCAGCTGTGCACGGGAGGTGGGGGTGCTGGGAAAGGGAGGGCGGGACTGCTGGACCCAGGCGATGTGTGCCTGTCCAAGGCCTGGTATTATCAGCCAGCCGGCGCCACGAAGTGAAAAAGTGAAGCTGGGCGGGGGCAGGGAGTAGGAGGCCGCAGAACCAGGCCCAGGGGCTTGTGTCCTGGCCCTGGGCACCCCAAGGGGTGCGTTCAGGCAACGATCTAAGCAGAGGCCTGCGCAGGCCAGGCTGGGGGATCTGGGGCTTAGAGGGATGGGGCAGGCCGTCCACAGGAGGTCGTGGCCTCCCGGGCCGAGCTGGACAGCACGCTGCTGCCCCAGGGCTCCCCAAACGCCCCCTCCTCGCAGGGCCGCGGAGACGCAGAGTGACCAGCAGGGGCCACCAGAGCTGCACACAGCCTGCGTGAAGCCCCACCCACTGCCCATGCCCCGCCCACCACACTCCAGCTGCCACGTCCCACCCACCTCCGCCACCCGCTGGGGGCCGCCCAGCTGGTCGATGAGCTCGTCCAGGGTGTTGACTGGCAGTTCCCGGCCCAGCCGCCGCACTTTGTCCAGCAGATCCTGCTTCAGCCGCTCCACCCGCTCCAGGACCCCGGGGCCATGCGGGTCTCTCTGCAGGAGGCACAGGGGTCCTAGGGAGGAGGTGGAGGGTCAGGGCAGGACATGTTGGCTGCCTTCTAGGGCCCACCTAACTCAAGGCTGGCCCCTGGAGGGCAAGGACAAGGGGCCCGGGGCAACCCTGAGGGACGGCAGGGTGGCGGGGAAGCCCGGCACCGTGGCCCAGGACTGCTTTTCTGCACTTGTCTCCCTGAGACCAGCTGGGGCGAGACTAAGCCTCCTGTCGCGGACCAAACACTGTGACCTCACTGCCTCCACAGGGGTAGGGACTGCCCAGCCCCAAGCCCCAGCTCTGCCTCTGACCAGTGGTATAACCCCTGACCTCCCCTCTCTGGGCCTCAGTTTCCCCCATCTGTAAAGTGGGCACCATAGCAGCAGCTGGGCTCAGGTGGGCTGGACTGAGGGCTACAACCTGGGGTGGGTGGTGACCGCCAGGAGGCCGGGGGAGCCTCAGGCTGGAATCCTGACCCAGAGGTGGCTGCTCAGCCTGGACTGGAATCCTGACCCACAGGTGGCTGGCCAGCCTGGGCAAGCCCTCACCCCGGTCGTCACTGGGGAGCCCGACTGCATCAACGATGACAACGTCGTCATCCACCAGGGACTCGGGGGAGGAGTTGAAGTCGCTGTCCAGGCCAGGGTCCGACTCCGTGCTGCTGTCGTCACTGATGCGGATGACGCCCGCTGTCTCGCACGCCAGCCGGGGGGCTTTGGCCCCGCGTCCCCGAGGTCGCCCTGCAGGGAAGGACAGGGTCACCGAGGGCCAGACCGCAGCAAGGTGGAGGAGCAGGTGGAGGAGACGCAGCAGGACAGAGCAAGGCCAGTGGTCCGAGCTGGGGAGGTCCATCCGAGAACCCCCTGCCTCTGGGCAAGCAGCTCAGCTGTTCTCCAGGGACGCCCTCTAGGGAACCCCGTGCCCTGTGGCCAGGAGGGTACGGTGTGGGGGGCCATATTTTATTTATTTATTTTCTTTTGAGACGGAGTCTTACTCTGTCGCCAGGCTGGAGAACGGTGGCATCTCACTGCACTCTCTGCCTCCTGGATTCAAGCGATTCTCCTGCCTCAGCCTCCTGAGTAGGTGGGATTACAGGCGCCCACCACCACGCCTGGCTAATCTTTTGTATTTTAGTAGAGATGGGGTTTCACCATGTTGGCCAGGATGGTGTCGATCTCCTGACCTCGTGATCCACCTGCCTCAGCCTCCCAAAGTGCTGGGATTATAGGCGTGAACCACCACGCCTGGCTTATTTATTTATTTTTGAGATGGAGTTTCACTCTGTTGCCCAGGCTGGAGTGCAGTGGTGCGATCTCAGCTCACTGCAACCTCCACCTCCCGGGTTCAAGCAATTCCCCTGCCTCAGCCTCCTGAGCAGCTGGTATTACAAGCATGCACCACCACACCTGGCTAATTTTTCTATTTTTAGTAGAGATGGAGTTTCACCATGTTGGCCAGGCTGGTCTCAAACTCCTGGCCTCAGGTGATTTGCCCGCCTCAGCCTTCCAAAGTGCTGGGATTACAACAGGCGTGACCCACTGCACCTAGCCAATATTTTATTTTTATTAATTTTTTTGAGACAAGAGTTTTTTCTGTCACCCAAGTTGGAGTGCAGTGGCATGATCTCGGCTCACTGCAATCTCCACCTCTCAGGTTCAAGCGATTCCCCTGCCTCAGCCTCCCAAGTAGCTGGGATTATAGGCGTCCACCACCACGCCCAGCTAATTTTTGTATTTTTAGTAGAGACAGGGTCTCACCATGTTGGCCAGGCTGGTCTTAAACTCCTGACCTCAGGTGATCCACCCGCCTCGGCCTCCCAAAGTGCTGGGATTACAGGCGTGAGCCACCACGCCCAGCCAACGGGACAATATTAATAAACCCATATCCAACGTCCTTTCAGGCCTGGCCAGTATGGTGGACACGCGGGGTGCCTGGGGAGGCCACACACCAGACTTCGACAGGCAGCTCTGGGCTTCCCTGTGACAGAAGCCTGGGGGTTATCAATGGGCTCCCCAAGGGACCGTGGAGACCCTGAAAACGGAAGGTGGGAGGGGTCTCGCTCAGCACCCGCGTCCGTGTCCCGCCCCCCGGGTCTCGCTCGGCACCCACGTCTGTGTCCTTCAGGCTGTCTGTTGCTTCCTCTTCCCTAAGCGTTCCATGGCAGGGTCCACGCAAGACCTGCCACTGGCAGCGGAGCCTTGAGCCTGCCTGGCACGGACAGGACCTGCATTTGGCTGAGTGGACGGGGGAGTGGGGGAAGCAGGGAGCGACCAGCCAGCCCCCGGGGGGAGAAAGCAGAGGGGCAGGGGTGGGTGGGGCCATGGGGGGCAGGGCTTACGTTTCCGCTTGCTGCCCGCTCCTCTGTCCCGCTTTCTCTTGGTGGACGGAAAGTGCTTCTGAATTAGCGACAGGAACACGCCTCTGAAAGTGAGACGCGGAGTTTATTCTCACACGAGGAGCTGAGGCCAGGCGGGGTTGCTCTCCAGGAGCTGGACGCACCCCTGGGTCCCTGTGGGGGTCCCGGACAGGACCGGGCCTGGGCAGAGGGTCTCCTGTGTGGAGTGGGCTGGGGAGGACTGGGGGCTGCCTGTGAGCTCTCCTCTGGCCTCCTGGTGTCACAGGGCCACCTCGGCCACCAGGCTTCCCCCGCTCTGAGGAATGTGGCCGGATATGATGATGGCTCCCAGGACAGGGGCAGGGGGCAGGGTGAAGGGGTAGCTGGGGGCATTGGGGAGCTCCGACCCCCAGGCAATGGGGGGATCTAGGGGGGCTGCTGTGACCCTCCCGGGGCATTCTCAACCAACAGGGGAGAGGCTGGGGCTTCAGACAGCTGGGAGGGCCAGCCCCTAAAATCCACAGCCCCCTTGTTAAAACGGCACAGATGCAGGAAGCCTCCTTCTGAGACCCCTGGAGACCATGTCCCAAACCTTCCAGGCCCACCATGCCTGGGGTCCACCTCCAAGCCTCTGCTTTAGACCTGGAGCAGCGGTGAAGGCCTCTGTGGCTGAGGCTGGGGGCCCAGCAAAGCCCACCCCAGCACCTCCTGCTGCTGGGGCCAAGGGGCAGGGTCAGGCCACAGGTGGCCACAGAGAGGGGTGGCCATGAGCGCAGGAAGCCCACAGTCCTGTCCCCACCGTGACACTTACTCAGCGGCCGAGACGAAGCAGTTGAGGTGCCCATCGTTCTCCCCCAGCACCTCCCGCGTGCGCGCCTCGCCCGTGGACTGCAGCCCGATGACCACGCACTGTGGGACGGCAGAGGACTGTGAGCCACCAGCCCTGCTGTGGGGCCTCTGTGGGGCCAGAACCTGCCAGGCCTGGGGTGATGGCCACATCCCTCACTCTGCTGCTGTGCTCGCCTCCCCAGGAGGGGCCACGGCCCCCCTACAACACACACTGCTGGGTGGGGGTCTGCCGGCTGCCTGTCTCGGGATGGTGAGCTGCCCACTGTGTGGTCACACTCCGCTGTTCTGACACCCTGGCTGGCTCTGATTGGAAGACGGACATCCGGGCGTCTCTCACCCACCAGGGTGCAGCCCCCGCCCACGTCTGGGGAGGGGCCAGGAAGGACCTGGAAGAAGAGCAGCCTCCGCCCCTGCAGGCCCGGCCGCCCTCAGCCCTCGAAGGCCGCAGCCGCTCACCTTGTCTCGCGCCAGCTCCTCTCGGGCCAGCTCCACCAGCCGGCGCACCTTGGCTGCGATGCACAGATACTTGAAGAAGCGCTGGTGTGCCGACCAGAACTGGCCCCACAGGGACTTGCGCGACTCCAGGCCGATCCAGTCGGCCGCCTGCTGGAACACGTTCAGGGCCTCGGCCCACTGCAATGACACGTCACAAGGCGCCCCTGAGCTGTGGCTCCTGGCTCCCGACCCGGGCCCCGGCCCACCTGCCGCCAGCCCTGGGCAAGGCATCCCCACGCCAGGTGGAATTTAGGGCAGGATGGGGGTGCTGGGGGTGTGCACTGTAAGAGGCACTGCCTCTACCTGTACGGCAAAAACCTGAAAAACCAAAACACTCGTGGTGGGGAAGCCGTGCTGCAAACTGCACAGACTCCGCGCCCGCGGCAAACAGGCTCAGCTCCTTCCAAGAACACAGGGTGCTCGCAGCCACGCCTCTCTTGCTTTGGACCAGGGTCTCACCCAGGTGTGATCCTGTCCAGGGGACACTGGGCATGTCTGGGGCTGGCTGTGGTGGTCAGGTTTGGGGGCTGGTCCCGGCATGACTGGGTGGGCTGGGTTAGGGTGGCTGGGACTCTGGCCACGGATGCTGCTCCATACCCCAAAGTGCTCAGGACGGCCCCACCCCGGAGAGCAACCCGGCCCTGGGGGTTACGGGAGATGCTGGTTGTGTCACCTAAAGAAACGAGTGAAGAGGCTGGGTGTGGTGGCTCACGCCTGTAATCACAGCACTTTGGGAGGCTGAGGCGGTCAGATCGCCTGAGCTCAGGAGTTTGAGACCAACCAGCCTGACCAACATGGAGAAATCCTGTCTCTACCAAAAATATAAAATTGGCCGGGCTGGTGGCACATGCCTGTAACCCCAGCTACGCGGGAGGCTGAGGCAGGAGAATTGCTTGAATCTGGTAGGCGGAGGTTGCGGTGAGCCAAGATCGTGCCATTGCACTCCAGCCTGGGCAACAAGAGTGGAAACCCCGTCTCAAAAAATAAAAAAAAAAAACCATCGAACATACAGGGCTGTTGGGCGTGAGGGGGAGAAAACAGGACCTGTCCAAACATGGAGGGAACGACCAAGCCACATGGCCCACAGCAATGTGGATGCTGAACACGGCTACCAACTGCCAGCTGTGGGCCAGGACCTGGGGGCAAAGGGCTTGGGCACCACAGGAAGGGGGGCGGTGGTTTGGTCCCATCCCTCGTTATCACAGCCACATAAAAACCCCAGTGATGGCCGGGCACGTGGCTCACGCCTGTCATCCCAGCACTGTGGGAGGCCGAGGCGGGCAGATCACTTGCGGTCAGGAGTTTGAAACCAACCTGGCCAACATGGAGAAACACCGTTCTCTACCAAAAAATACACAAAATTAGCTGGGTGTGGAGGCGGGCACCTGTAACTCCAGCTACTCGAGAGGCTGAGGGGGGAGAATCGCTTAAACCCAAGAGGCAGAGGTTGCAGTGAACTGAGATCACACCACAGCACTCCAGCCTAGATGACAGCACGAGACTGTCTCAAAAAAACAACAAAAAAAAAACCCCAGGACAGGACAGGGCGGGCCGTCACCTGATGACGCCTGTGGCATCTGCAAGGCCACGGGGGAGCAATTTCACCCGGGAAACGCACAGGGGTCCCCGGGTCGGGTGCGCAGGCTCACCAGCAGGGCCGCGCGGTTGTAGACGCACTCGAAGGCTGGGGCCAGCGGGATCTCCTCGATGCGGAAGGTGACGCCGGAGAAGCTGAGCTGGCGTGCGATGTACATGCCGCTGACCTTCATGTCCATGGCCACGATCTCCATGGCGCCAACGCCCCTGCGGATGGACACAGCCCCCGTGAGCACGGCCAGAGCCCGTGGGGATGGAGCCACTCGGAGCGCGAGGCAGAGCCAGTCGCAGAGAGGGCGGGGTCGGCAGGAGCAGAGCCCTGGCGGCCACTGAGGCAGTTGGCAGCTGAGCCTGGCGGGGACGGGGCAGGAAGGGCTGCGGAGGGGCTGGCTTCCCTGGGAGTGCTGGGCAGCCCGAGGCAGTGAAACGAGCGACCCACATTCAGCACCTCTGGGTGCTGGGGAAGCACACGTGGCAGTGCCAGGCCTTGGGCTGATGGGCCTGAGGCCTCCTCCCCACCCCCCGCCGCCCCTCCACGTGGGTGAGAAGGGCACTCACCTCTTCTCGATGGCGTGCAGGAACTCCTCAAAGTTCCGGAAGGGTGTGCCCTCGCCCCAGATACCCAAGCGGCTCATGTAGATCATGTTCCGAGGCTCAGAGGCACCTGTGGGGGGAAGCTGCCGTCAGCTCCCCAACCCGGGAGGGCCCAGAGGCCGCGTCAGGGGACGACTAAGTTGGGACCACCCGACGAGGGGCCCTGCGGGGTTGGAGCCATGGGCCTGAAGAGAGCCAGCGTGGCCTTGGGACAGGCGCAGAGGTGCCCCAGTGTCCGAGGAGGAGCAGGGTGCAGACGGAGGCTGAGTACGCGTGTGGGATACCCCTTCGCGGGGACAGCCAGGCAGAAAGACGCTGCTGCGGGTGGGTCACGTGGGATCCGCACCGCCCCACCTGTGGCGCTGGCGTAGACCACGCGGGCCAGGGGCAGCTTGTTCTGCAGGTCTAGCACAGCCTTGCCCATCTTGGTGGAGCCGGCATTCTTGGCTTTGTGACACTCGTCGAACACGATCTGAGGCACACGTGGGTTAAGGAGTATTCTGAAGGACGGGGGCGACCCCAGGAGCCCAGGTCCTGACCACCCAAGACCCCACCTTCCTGGTGGGGGGCAAACGCCTGTGCGGCTGAGAACTCCACGAGGGAAGCCCAGGTCGGAGTGGCAGCCGGCTACCATGGGGGGCGGGCGGGCAGGCGGCCCCCACACGACCATTAGATGGGTGTGGCCTGGGATGGCTCCTCCCAGACTCTAAACAACACACACCGAGGATGGGGCCTCCGGCGAGGAAGGGTGGGATCCCTAAACCATGATATCGCAGGACGTTGCCATCGGAGGAGGATACCTGGAACCTGTTTTCTTTTTTGTTTGTTTTTTTGAGACAGGGTCTTGCTCTGTCACCCACGCTGGAGTGCAGTGATACAATGTCAGCTCACTGCAACCTCTGCCTCTCAGATTCAAGTGATTCTCCTGCTTCAGCCTCCCAAGGAGCTGGGACTACAGGTGTGTGCCACCACCACAACCGGCTAATTTTTGTAGTTTTGGTAGAGACGGGGTTGGCCGTTTGGTTGGCCAGATAATCTCAAACTCCTGACCTCAAGTGACCTGCCTGCCTCAGCCTCCCAAAGTGCTGGGATTACAGGTGTGAGCCGTGCCCAGCCCTAATTCTTTGTTTTTTTTTGAGACGAAGTCTCGCTCTGTCACTAGGCTGGAATGCAGCGGCGCGATCTCAGCTCACTGCAACCTCCGACTCCCTGGTTCAAGCGATTCTCCTGCCTCAGCCTCCTGAGTAGCTGGGATTACAAGTGTGCGCCACCACGCCCGGGTAATTTTTGTATTTTCAGTAGAGACGGGGTTTCACCATATTGGTCAAGACAGTCTGGAACTCTTTTTTTTTTTAGATGAGACACAGTCTCGCTCTGTCGCCTGGGCTGGAGAGCAGTGGGGCAATCTCGGCTCACTGCCACCTCTGCCTCCTGGGTTCAAGCGATTCTCCTGCCTCAGCCTCCCGGGTAGCTGGGATTACAGGTGCGCACCACCACGCCCAGCTAACTTTTGTATTTTTAGTACAGACGTGGTTTCACCATGTTGTCCAGGTGGTCTCGAACTCCTGACCTCGTGATTCGCCTGCCTCGGCCTCCCAAAGTGCTGGGATTACAAGCGTGAGCCACTGCACCCGGCCAGGTTCTTAATATTTTAAGACGAAAGAAAGCCAAGTTCCAGGAAAGCAGTCTGAGGAAGGAAAACTGGGAGAATACAAATTAAACGGCCGGCCCTGCCGCCACGTAGCAGCTCAGCGAGGTATGATCTCAGGGTTATCGCTATTTCGTAGATTGTTGCACATAGATTGTTCAGCCGGGTGCGAAGACACCAGCAGTCTCCCGTTCTGTTTCTGGCCAGTCTGAATGTTCTGTGTCTCGGCGTTAACTGAACAGCAAAGCCATGGCCATGTCCTGTGCATGAAGTGGATGCTGCAGGCCAACGTCCCTCCCTTATCTGAGCCTGTGCTCCCAACACCCCAACACCCAAGGTGCACCCTGCAGGGCCGAGCACCAGGGCTGAGCCTGGCCAAGGGGTGCCCTGCCGTGCCTTTGCTGCTAACTGTCCTGGGTCTCCTGTGGGGGAGCCCCTCCGAACCGCAGCCTGCCGACGAGAGCCCTGGGATGCTGGGGAGTGAACTGTGCCCACCACACTATCAGCTGGGGTTGGCACCTTCCTGACTTGGGGAGCAGCTCAGTGGCCACCCTCTGCCCACGGCATCATGGCAAACATCAGGACCACATCTATGGTCACTCATCCCACTTATCAGAACCAAGAAACCAAGCCGGAGCCCTGTGGTGAATGATGATGGTCACTTGTGTGGTACCCACAGGGCCAGCCTCCCAGGACCAGAAAAGTCTTCTATCCGGAGTCCTAAACCCTGAGCAAAGCTGGGGGCTGGGTGGCCACATCCAGGGTAGTGAGCTCCAGTGGCCTCCAGCCCTTCCCCAGCCCCACCCCTCCGCTCCTACCCTCTCCCATCCTGCCCTCCTCTCCCCTGACTCCCACCCCTCCTCTCCCACTCCTCCATCCTCCTTTTCCCTCCGACCCCCTAATCCAGCCCTCCCCTCCCGATTGCCCCCAGCAGGATACGACGCCCTCGAAGGCCTCCCCACACCAGTCCAGGATCTGCCGGAGGCGAGTGCGGTGCTGGCCGCCGGCCTGGCTCTCCCCAATCAGGGCGGAGTAGGTGGCGAAGAGGACGCCCTCTGAGGTAGTGGTGTCACCGTACTTGATCTGGGGATGCACAGAACAGGTGTGGAATGGGGCCCCGGCTCAGCAGGCTCTGGACCTGGGTCTCCCTATCTGTAAGGGTGCTGGGCAGAGCCTGCCCTGGCTGCTGGCCCACCCAGCTGAGCAGCCCCCACTTTGCAGGGCACGGTCCCCACCTTGCCCCCTACTTTGCCGAGCACAGCCCCTACCTTGCTGAGCGCGTGCACCGCGATGCCCGTGGCTTCGATGTCCCGCAGGTCGCGCTCCGCATCGTACTTGAGGTCGTTGGAGACGCTGAACCTGCGGGGTGGGGGCGTCAGGCGCGCCCACCCTTCCCCCTCGCCCCCCGCTTCCGCCCCCCACCCCCGCTCCCGCCCCCTGCCCCAGGCAGGGCCTCACCACAATGCTTTCTTCCGGCCGCGCAGGTGGTTCTCCAGGATGACTCCGGCCACCGTCCGGCCTTTGCCCACGCCGGCCCCATCGCCGATGAGAAAGCCCGCGCGCTGCCCGCTGGGGAGCAGGACCTCGTGTTGCTGTTGCCGGAGAGCAGGCGTCAGGGCCTGGGGGTGCTGGCCCGGCCCCTCCCCAGGGGCCTCGCGGACACAGGCTGGGCTGGGTTGGGGACATGCGGTCACCTGGCAGGCGTAGGTGATGGCCTCTAGCTGCAGGGCAGACAGGGCCCCGCTGTCCGAGGGCAGGGCCAGGGTGTAGGTGATGTCTGGGGGTGGGACGCTGGACAGTGTGCTGGTCTCCACCACGCGGTCTGGGTGCTGCTTCCCGATCTTGGCTGGAGGAGCAAGGACGGAGGGCAAGGTAAAGGGTATGGCCAAGGGGTGACCAGGGCCGGTTATGGCACGCTGGGCGGGTCTGGGGCGTGGCCAGAGCTGGCGGGGCAGTTTGGGGGCGTGGCCAGGTCCCGTTGGGCGGGTCATGGGCGTGGCCAGGAATGCCTGGGTGGAGGAGTGGTCAGGGCTGGCCGGGTCGGGGGTGTGGCCGCGGCCTGCTGGGTTGGTTGGGGGCGTGGCCAGCGGCTTGCAGGAGGGGCAAATGCATAAAAATCCTCCCAGTGCCTCTGAGGTTCCTTTCCACTTCTCCCCTCTGCGAACCCCGGTTTTGTATAAGCCTGGATTGTAGAACCTGTCCCCGGGCTCTCCGGCCCTCCCTGAAGCTTCACATTCCCTCTGTGGGCTGTGCGGGCGGTGGTCACCTGCAGGGTCTCGGTCCCACAAAAGGGTTTGAACCTGTCCCAGGGCTGGGTGCAGCCGGGCCACTCACACTTGGACGGCACGTAGTCGGCGTAGGTCTCTGTGTGCCCCAGCTCCTCCGCCTCCTCCTCCTCAGCCTCGTCCTCCTCCTCTGGCTGGCTCTGCACACTCTGCTCCTGCGTGCGTGGCGGGAGCTCAGCGGAGACTGCAGGCCTGAGCGGCCGCGGGCACTGGGCTCCCCCAGGGGCAGGGGCCAGGCTGACCATGGGCAGCTGAGTGACCCAGGGGTGGGAGACGGCTCTGTCTGCCCCTGCAGCAAGGTGCTCCCCCAGGGCCTCCATCTCCTCAGCTATAAAATGGGCACTCCCAGCTTCTAGGCCAGCCAAGCGCTCCCCACAATGGAGATGCCTGTGCTGAGCCCTCTCCTTAGGTCCCATGAGAGGGCAGGGGAGGGAGCTCTCGGCTGGGCCCAGCTCACCTGGTAGCTGACGAGAAGCGGGGTGCTGTGGGAGGGCAGAAAGTCCTCGAAGCCTGCAAACGGCCTGCTGAGCTGGAACAGCTGGAAGGGGAGCAGGATGTCAGCCCGGGCCAGACGGGACAGGTCACAGCTGGTGGGCCCTCGCAGCCTGGCCACCAGAGGGAGGCTCCCCACTGCCCCGTCCTCGCCTCCCCATCCTCGCTCCCCAGGGCCCTGGGTCTTGCTCTCCTGCTGTTCTCAGGGTGACCCTGGTGCCTCCCAAGCCTCCCCAGTGGGCACCTCCCTGGGGCCTAAGGCTCGCTCCTCCTGGCCAGCACCTGGCTGCCTTCTCACTGATGGCCAGTGTGCCTGCCTGGAGTGCCCGGGAGGAAGGTGCCCGGCTAGTTCTGACAGACAACACAGCTTGGTCCCGCGGGAGCTGCCAGGAAGGCTGTGGACAGGGGTCTGACAGGAGAGACCCACTGTGTGCCAGCCCCATGCAGTGCAGGAGGCCCTCGGGGGCCTGGGAGACAAGGGGTTGGGAGCTCCCTGTCGAGGGGGAAGAGGAGACAGAGGCAGTGGGGGCGGGCGGGCCTGGGCCTTGTCCCTCACCCGATGGCTCCCAGCACACAGGGTGGGTGGCCCAGGGCAGCCCTGCACTCTCCAAGAACCCCCGTGGGTGCAGTCCCTGAGGCCCCTCGAGGGCAGCACCTCCTCTGTGAGAGATGGGGCAAGGATGCCTGCCACTGTAGTGACCAGAGAACACATCCCACTGCGGCCCCACCCTGGGGAGAAGGACTGCCCGGAGCCTCATGCAGATTCACCAGGGTGGGCAGTGACACTGTCCTCGGGGAGCTGACCCCAGGCCTTGGCAGACAGGTGTGCTGGGCCTCTGGATGAGTCTGTGGCCCACCCAGGGGTCTCCGAACTGACTGGGCGTGTAAAGCCTGTGAACGGGTGGGTCGGGGGGTGGTGTGGCCCGTCGTCATGCCCACTGTCCAGACGCCAACACTGAGACAGTGTGGACCCCGGGACGGATGGCTGGGGGATGGTAGGGTCCAAACTAGGGTCTGTGTGATTCTGGAATATATCCACTCTTAAAAAGCAAAAATCCTAACAGTAATACGAGCCATAAAAAACGTAAGCATGGTCAGGGTACAGTGGCTCACACCCGTAAATCCCAGCACTTTGGGAGGCCAAGGCCTCCCAGAGTGGAGGTCAGGATTTCGAGACCAGCCTGGCCAGCATGCTGAAACCCCGTCTCTACTAAAGATACAAAAAAAAAAAAATTAGCCAGGTGTGGTGGTGGGCGCCTGTAATCTCAGCTGATCAGGAGGCTGAGGCAGGAGAATCGCTTAAACCCAGGAGGCAGAGGTTGCAGTGAGCTGAGATCACGCCATTGTACTCCAGCCTGGGTGACAGGGCGAGACTCCATCTCAAAAAAAAAAAAAAAAAAAAAGTGAGCGTGGGCCGGGCATGGTGGCTCACGCCTGTAATCCCAGCACTTCGGGAGGCCAAGATAGGTGGATCACCTGAGGTTGGGAGTTCAAGACCAGCCTGACCAAAATGGATAAACCCCATCTCTACTAAAAATACAAAATTAGCCAGGCACGATGGTACATGCCTGTAATCTCAGCTACTAGGGAGGCTGAGGAGGCAGGAGAATCTCTTGAACCTGGGAGGTGGAGGGTGCAGTGAGCTGAGATCGCACCACTGCACTCCAGCCTGGGCGACAAGAGCGAGAGACTCTGTCTTAAAAAAAGAAAAAAAAAAGTGTGAAGAATTGGAAAGGGGAGAATCCCGCCGGGTGCGTGGCTCAGGCCTGTGGGAGGCAGAGGCAGAACGGGCGAGATCTTTTGGGGCCAGGGTTCCAGACCAGCCTGGACAACATGATAAAATCCTATCTCTACAAAAAATACAAAAATTAGCCAGGCGTGGTGTCGTGTGTCTATGGACCCAGCTACTCGAGAGGCTGAGGCAGGAGGATCGCTTTAACCCAGAAGGTCGAGGCTGAAATGGGCTGAGGTTGCGCCACCACACTCCAGCCTGGGCGACAGAGTGAGATCCCGTCTCAAAATAAATAAGTAAATAAATAAATAAGAGCATCTCTTCTAGACCCGGTCCCCCCCTTGAACTCCAACGTCCTGAGACGGGTGAGGTTTCCGCCCAAGCCTGCCTGAGCCCGGGCCGGGTTCTCGGCAGTGTGTGGGAGCCACCAGGCTAGTGATGCTAATGAACTGAGTCCACAGCTTCTGCATTTTCTAACACTAGGAACACTCCTGAGGGTTTTTAAAGAAAGTGGAAGCGTGGCACAGGAAGGTTAGAAACCTATACTCAGTTGCCCTCTCCTTTTTTTTTTAAGTTAACAAAACACAAAAAAACAGACGCCACGCAGGTTCCTGGAAGGCTGAGTCACCATTCCCGGTGGGGCTGGCGGGCATTGGGTTTCAGATGCCCTCGTGCCGGCCACAGCAGGCCGGTCAGGCCCTGGCTTCTTTCCTCACGCCCTGCTGAGGACCTGGGAGCTAGCTGGGAGGGCACGGGCCCCGGGCTGGGTGAAATGCTCTGCTGGGCCCTTGTGCCAGAGGGACCAAGCCTGAGCCGCCCACCATGGCTGCGGGGTGCCCTGATGCTTCCTGAGCCGCCCACCGTGAGCCACCCACCGTGGCTGCGGGGTGCCCTGATGCTTCCTGCCTGGGCCCCCAAGCCCGTGAGTTCTGCTGCCCGGGTTGCCCCTTCCTGAGGGCCCGGGAGAGCGGCCTATGGGTGTGAGCCCACCACTGTGCCGGGAGCGTGCGGAGGCTGGCATGGGCCCTCACCGGAAGGCGCTCAGTCCCAGAGACATGTCCAACGTCTGCTCCCAAAGTCTAGAAGCTTCTCTCGTGGACAGGCCCGGATTGGGGAAGGGACTTGCCAGGCCTGGCTCCCAGCCATGCCTCCCTCACCAGACACCTCCACTGAGTCGCACTGGGGCACGGCTAGAGGCTAGGCCCGAAGAACCTGGGGGCCCTGCTGCCCTACAACCCCTGCTCTAGGCCTGGCCCACCCAGGTCCTTCAGGAGCTTCTTGGAGGCAAACCCCAGCCCCTCAGCCCCCACGGACAATGTCCAGCTCCCCACCCTGGGACAGGATCCACCAACCTCGCCCTCTCAGCTCCCCACTAGCGGGGACACGGCCACTGCTGACCCAGGCACCATGGGGCTGGATGCCACCACAGGTGCTGTTCCTCTGCCTGGACAGCCACATTGCCTGGGCCCGCTGGGCGCTGCCTCTCCAGGGGGCCCTTCCTGACCACGCTTCTCTGTCCCGTCACCTTCCTGTGCTTCTCTAGACCAGGGACTCCCCGGGTGCGGTGGACACGGGGCAGGGTCCCTCTCAGGTGGGGCCATAATGGGCACTGCAGGGCGCTGGGCAGCATCCTGGCCCCCCCCAACTCCATGCCAGGAGCACCGCCCAGATGTGGTAGCCACAGATGTCCTGGACGTCGCCTTCTCCTATTCAGGACACAAGAGGACCCTCAACTAACCACCTCATCCATGGCCACAGATGGCGCCGACAGTGACAGGCACAGCCATTGGCACGCAGAGTGGGGGAGACTGAGACCTCACTGGACCGTGTGGGTCCCGGGCTGGGGAGGCCACGCTGGTGGGTCGGGGCTGGCTGGGGGCACCGGGCGCACTGACCTTATCGTGGGTGGAGGGGGCAGGGTTATCGTCCCAGATGGTGGACACCTGGTTGAGGCTGTCAGCCGGCAGGAAGTCGGGCGTGTCCACGATGTCCGACAGGGAGTCCACGGACGAGGAGAAGATGGAGATGTTGGAGAAGTCCTCAAAATAGGAGGAGTCCTGGAAGACAAGGCCAGGCCCGGTGAGGGTGGTACGGGAGACACCAAGGCCCCTCCACGCACTGGAGCACGTGGGGATGGGAGACACCACGGCCCTCCACACACTGGAGCATGTGGGAATGGGAGACACCACGGCCCTCCCAGGTTCAAGCAATTCTCCTGCCTCATCCTCCCAAGTAGCAGGGATTACAGGTGTGCGCCACCATGCCCAGCTAATTTTTTTGTATTTTTACTAGGGACGGGGTTTCACCATGTTGGCCAGCCTGGTTTTGAACTCCTGACCTCAAGTGATCTGCCTGCTTCGGCATCCAAAAGTGTTGGGATTACAGGCGTGAGCCACCATGTGACAGAGCGAGAGAGTGAGACTCCGTCTCAAAAAAGAAAAAAATAAACAAGCAATGGGTGAGAAACACCAACCCTCAGGGCCACGCAGGACGGCGTCTGACTTCTGCAGCACCTGAAGGGCAGCAATGCTGCAGGAACTCTGAGCAGCTCGGGTCTGGGGTGAGCCTGGTGCCATGCCCTGTGCCGGAGGCAGGGGCGGGGGCAGCCACGCCCAGAGGTGGGGCTCGCCATGGGGATGACACACACACACGCGCTGCCCAGTGAAGGAGATGTATGTACATCATTTCATTTTTTTTTTTTTGAGACGGATTCTTACACTGTCGCCCGGGCTGGAGTGCAATGGTGTGATCTCGTCTCACTGCACCCTCTGCCTCCCAGGTGCAAGCGATTCTCCTGCCTCAGCCTCCCGAGTAGCTGGGATTACAGGCACGTGCCACCACGCCCAGCTAATTTTTGTATTTTTAGTAGAGACGGGGTTTCACCGTGTTGGTCAGGCTGGTCTCGAACTCCTGACCTCAGGTGATCCATCCACCTTGGCCTCCCAAAGTGCTGGGATTACAGGCGTGAGCCACCGTGTCCGGCCACATGTGATGTCTCACGCCTGTAATCCCAGCACTTGGAGGCCAAGGTGGAAGATTGCTTGAGTCCAGGAGTTCAAGATTCGCCTGGACAATATGGCAAAACCCCATTTCTACTAAAAATACAAAAATTAGCTGGGTGTGGTGGTGCATGCCCGTAGTCCCAGCTACTCGGGGGGCTGAGGCGGGAGGATCACCTGAGCCCAGAGGGGTCAAGGCTGCAGTGAGCTGTTACTGCACAACTACATTCCAGCCTGGGTGACAGAGCAAGACTCTGTCTCAAAAAAAAAAAAATAGACTGGGCATGGTAGCTCACGCCTGTAACCCCAGCACTTTGAGAAGCCAAGGTGGGCAGATCACCTGAGGTCAGGAGTTCAAGACCAGCCTGACCAATATGGTAAAACCCTGTCTTTACTAAAAACACAAAAATTAGCTGGGCATGGTGGTGCGTGCCTGTAATCCTAGCTACTCGAGAGGCTGGGGCAGGAGAACTGCTTGAACTCAGGAGGCAGAGGCTGCAGTGGGCTGAGATCGTGCCATTGCACTCCAGTCTGGGTGACACAGGGAGACTCCATCTCAAGAAAAACAAACAAAGAAAAAAACCAGGCATGTCAAGGGGGCGCTGTCTCTCCCTGGAAGCTGTGGGTTCCGTCCCCCTCACCTTGCTCAGCTTTGCCCACTGCCCACCCTGTCAGACCCAAGCACCTGGGCACTGATCACTAGGGACCTTCAGGAACCTGCCCCCAAACAGAGACCCCCGGGACAGAGGTGTCCATGCTGCCCGCCTGAGGCCCAGAGCCAGGTAGGGTGCAGCACCCCCCACCCCAGGAGGGTAGGAGCAGTCCACCTCCCAGAGCCTCTGGAGGCCCCGATCGGCAGGGTTGGGGAGCATTCATCCCACTGAGGCCCACGAGGGCCCTCCGGACACTGCCCACCCAGGCTGCAGAGGGCCTGGTCACGCTGACCTGTGGCCCGGACCCTCCGTGGAAGCATTTCCCGGGCAAGGTCAGGGGCTCCTGAGTTGGTCAAGGCCCCAGCCAGGAGCGGGGGTGAGTTGCTATCGGGCCCAGAACCGCCCAGGCCTTGGTGGTGCAGGGAGCGCAGGCAGAGCGGAGGAGAGCTCCCCAAACCCAAATGCGTGGGTCACACGGCCAGTCCTTCCCCGGAGCTCAGCGTGGACAGAGGGAAGGGACCTCAGGCAGAGACACCTGCCCCACGCCCTCACCAGGTGCCCTTGGCCCAAGAAGACAGGACAACAGGGTCCTCCCGCCCAGGGTCCTCCACCCAAAACTCCTGCCCCAGTCTGAGGAAACACCAGCCCGACTACTCCAGGGCATCCACACCACCCGACCAGCCCCAGGACCGCCCAACGCATCTGAAACACGGGCCTCTGAGAAACCATCACAGCCCAGAGGGGCCTGAGGAGACGCCTAAACACCACGTGGGGTCCTGGGCAGGAAAGGACATGGGGGAAACTGAGGCAATCCAAGCAAAGCGTGGGCCTCAGGAGTTAACGGTGGCGTACGGATGTTGGTTCATCAGCCGTGACAGCCACAGACGGGAGATAGAACAGCAGGGAGCCCGGGAGTGGGTGCACGGGGACTCTCTGCACTGTCCCTGCAGCTTTTCTGTCATTCTAAAACAGTTTGAAAAGTTAAAGTCAAGTCGGGCAGGGGGGAGCTCACGTCTGCTACTCAGGAGGCTGAGGCAGGAGGATCCGTTGAGCCCAGGTGGTCGAGGCTGCAGTGAGCTATAATTGCGCCACTGCACGCCAGCCTGGGAGACAGAGCGAGACCCTATCTCAAAAAAAAAGTTAAAAGTCAAGCAGGGCGTAGTGGCTCATGCCTGTAATCCTACTGTTTTAGAGCCAAGGTGAAAGAATCACTTGAGCCCAGGAGTTCAAGACCAGCCTGGGCAACACAGCAAGACTCCATGTCTACAGAACGTTTAAAAATTAGCTGGGCATGGCAGCATGTGCCTGCAGTCCCAGCTACTCAGGAGGCTGAGGTGGGAGGATTGCTTCAACCCAGTTGGTGGAGGTTGCAGGGAGCCGAGATCGTGCCACTGCACACCAGCCTGGGTGACAGAGCAAGTCCCTGTCACAAAAACAAATAAATAAAAGTGAAAGTCTAATAATGAGGGAGTGCTTGCAGCTTTCAGGCTTCAAGAACGCAGCCTCGAGGCCCCGCCCTGCTCCCTGTCCGGTCCTTCCCAGCACAGGACACCCCACCAGGTGCATGAGCCCTCGAAGCCTTCACTTCTAGCAGGTGCCCTCAGCGATTAGGGACAGAGGGAGACGGGGTTCCCAGGGCTGGCCCTGTTCACATGTGGGAAGCTGAACAGAGCCAGGCCAGCTCCCCCCACAGTGGCTCCGTCCTCTGCCCACATCTGGATTTGACTCCTAGCAGCCACCAGCTCACCTCAGAGACAGCCTAAGTCCCACCCGCGCCTGTGTGTCCCTCCACAGCCCCTCCAGGCCGGCCCAGGCTCCTGCATCCTTCACCACATGACCCACCCACCCTCCAGCCTCAGCTCAGCGGACCCAGTGCCTCCCCAGGGAACCGGGCCCCTCTGCAGTCTGTAGTGAGGGCAAGCACCAAGGCCCCTCAAGGGTGACACTTGCATCCCTCCCCGCCAGCCCCCAGTTCTGGGGCCCCAGGGAGGGCCGGGGCTGCCCGCTGTGGTTCTTGTCTCTGTAGCATTTCAGGAGCCCTGGGCTGAGGTGGGGAGCTGGGAGGACCTGGCTGGGAGGACCTGGCTCTGCCCGCTTCAAAAGCAGCAGACACAGCTCCTCCTGCCCTGGGCAGCCAACTCCAGACCTGACTCCAGAACTGACTCCAGACCTGATGTGCTGCCGCTGCCCTGTGCTCCAGGACCCATGGGGAGCCACAGAGCCACAGGGATTTGCCGGCCTGCGCCACCAGAGCCAGCCCTGACCAGGCCCACCCAGCCTCCGCTCCCTACAAGAGCCCCATAAGACACCCAGAGCCCCTCCACCTGAGGCTTCTCCAGAGGAAAGCCACAGCTCTGGGTCCTACCCCAGGGGCAGAAGGAGGGGGACGCAGCCCTCCCGACAGCCACTGCCACTGTCACTGAGGGCCCCCGTCCGGGCAGGGCTGAGCCCGACCCCCCCACTCCGCTCGGGTCCCCCAGCCTACGCACAGGGCGCCGCTCCCAGCCCGAAGTCTTAAATCTCTGCCTCGGAACCTTCCGGCAGATTCCCTCTCACTGCCAGAAGAGACGGACGGGGCGGGGTGGGGATTTTTTTAGATCCTGGCGGCCTCGGACTCTAGGATGAGATGCCGGCTGCTCCGGCAGGGGGCCCGGCCGTCCTGAATGGGGTCCCACCTCCCAGACCCCTGCCCCCGAGGGCCTCGCCCGCCCCGGGAAGGGAGTGTTACCTTGTTCAGAGCCTCAAACTGCAGCCACAGCTGCAGCTGGGACATGGTCCCGGCGCTCGGGGGGCCAGGGGTCCCCCAGGAAGCGCTGCCCGGGAGCGGCTCCCTCATGACCGCGGCAGCAGCCCCAGCATTGGGTCGGCCGGGGCGGACGGGGGCGGCTCTCCGCCCGGCTGCATTTGCATGTCGGTTTAGTCACCGCCGCCGGCGCCTACTTCCTCTAAGGCCGGGGCTGACTTTCAGGAAATGATGCCGGCCCCGTAAGTCAGGGCAATTACCGGCAGTGCGAGGAGAATTACTGTACGGGGCGGATCTCCCACAGGCGCTGTCAACACGCAACCCCACCCGTGCCCCGCCGCAGGACCAGCCCCCTTTGGGGCACCCGGCGGACGTGCAGAATGCCCAGGTGGGCATGGGCCTCGGTCTCCCCAGACTGCAGGGAGCTGGGTTCCGTTCCACGGGGACCAGCTGCTGTTCCTGGTGCCCCCAAACCACAGGCAGGGAAACTGCGGCCAAGACCGCCTCCCTTCACCCAGCACCCCACGCATGCCAAGCGCACCTCAGGCCCTGCTGCGCCCCCCTGGGGCTCTCCCCACCCCACCCCTGCAGGCTGAGGTCCCCGAGAAGCCCCTGCCGCCGAAGCAAAGTCCCCTCCCTGCTCTTTCCCTGCTGTCCGTGCCCAGGGGGTTCAGCGGGCCCCGTGGCCTCCCTTGATCTGGGGCTGGCGGAGGGAGAGCTGAGCCTGGGCCCCTCCTCTCCAGGCTCTGGCCAGACCCGGCCTCGGCCCCCTGGGCAGGAACAAGTGGTAGCGTCCTGGGAAAAGAACGTTCTCGCTTTGGTAGAAAACCAAGTGTCAATGATGCACTTGCTGGGGCAACCCCGGGCCGCGAGCCCGCCCGCGGCCACACTCTTGCCCGCACTGTGAGGACCCTGGCGCATCACAGGGGCCTAGACACCGCGGGGCAGACACCTGATGGGACCTCACATTGGGCCACAGGCGGTCATTCTCGGTGTCCTTGGAGGAGCTGGGGAGGCCCCAGGGCCAGAGGGGGTGGGAGGACGGCCGGGCTGTGGAGAGGACGGGCCCCATCTGCCTGTACTCAGCGACTGACGGGGCAGAGGCCGCATTGCCCACGAGACCGCGGCCGAGACCGCGCAGGTGGCCACGGCTCCTCCTCTGTGAGGGGAGGAAGGGCCCGGCCCTGTGGCCAGGGGCCCTGGGAAAGAAGGAAACCGCCCCGAGAGGCCAGGGGAGCCCGTGGCTGGGCCGGAGGGCTCGGGACAGTTCTGGGCTTGTAAGACTCCCGCCAGGGCTCTGAGGGGAGAGTGGGACCAGGGGGCCCTCAAACCCTGTGCACTCCGCCCCCTCGGGCTCACCCTGTTCTAGACCCTGAGGCCCTGTGCCAGCCCCACTGGGGCCCCGCGACCAGGCACCGCAGCAGCGGAGGCTGGTGCAGACTGTCGCCCACACCCCTTGCCACGACCCATCACCTCCTGGAGGCTGGGCGACAACACGGGTCCGTGCCGCTGGGGCGAGGGGCCCGCCTGCCAGGCACCCCGCCCGCCAATGGAAAACAACCAATGGGGAAGAAACCCACGGAGCCGCTCAATCCGGCAGCCAATCACAGCCACCGCTCAACCTAGCAGCCAATCACAGCCACCGCTCAACCCAGTAGCCAATCACAGCCACCGCTCAACCCAGCAGCCAATCACAGCCACTCCCAGAGACAGCTCCACACCAGCTCCACGCAAAAAACCCACAACCACAAGCGCTGCTGAGGACGCGGGGCAGTGGCCTGGGAACCATCCTGCAGCTCCTCAAAAGAGGCGAATGGGGAGTAACAACCCAGCAGCTGCACTCCCACGTGCCATCAGGAGGACCCACAGCTCACAAAAGCCTGAACCTACAGCTCAGGAGTGGACCCACAGCCCACAGGACCCACAGCTCAAGGGTGGACTCACAGCTCACAGGACCCATAGCTCATGGGTGGACCCACAGCTCATAGGCGCCTGGACCCACAGCTCATGGGTGGACCCACAGCCCATAGGACCCACAGCTCACGGGTGGACTCACAGCTCACGGGTGGACTCACAGCTCACGGGTGGACTCACAGCTCACAGGTGGACCCACAGCTCACAGGACCTACAGCTCACGGGTGGACTCACAGCTCATAGGCACCTGGACCCACAGCTCACGGGTGGACTCACAGCTCACAGGACCTACAGCTCACGGGTGGACCCACAGCTCCCGGGTGGACCCTCAGCTCCCAGGTGGACCCACAGCTCATGACAGCCTGGCTCCTGCAGCGCAGTCACCACGGAGGAACAGGGCCAGCACAGTGAGGCCGTCCACACACTGGAACACGACCCAGCCATGAAAAGGAGCAAGGCTCTGACCCAAGCCACAGCACGGATGCACCTTGAGGACCTCACACTCAGTGAAAGACGCCAAACACAGAAGGCCACGCAGTGTGTGAGGCCATTTCTATGAAATGTCCTGTCCTGAACAGGAATCCACACAGACAGGAAAAGCATTCAGGTTATCAGGGGGTGGGGATGGGCTGGGGAGTGACAGCTGATGGGAACGGGGCTTCCTGTGGGATGATGGAATGTTCTGGAACTAGACAGAGGTGGTGGTTGCACAACTCTGTGAATATACTTTTTTAAAGTGTGGATTTGGGCCCGGCACGGTGGCTTACGCCTGTAATCCCAGCACTTTGGGAGGCCGAGGTGGGTGGATCACGAGGTCAGGAGTTCAAGACCAGCCTGGCCAGCATGGTGAAACCCCGTCTCTACTAAAAATACAAAAATTAGCCAGGTGTGGTGGTGGGTACCTGCAATCCCAGCTACTCGGGAGGCTGAGGCAGGAGAATTGCTTGAACCCGGGAGGCAGAGGTTACAGTGAGCTGAAATCGTGCCACTGCACTCTAGCCTGGGCAACAGAGCAAGACTCTGTCTCAAAAAAAAAAAAAAAAAAAAAAAAGGTGGATTTGGCCGAGCGTAGTGGCTCACACCTGCCATCCCGGCACTTTGGGAAGCTGAGGTGGGCAAACAGCTTGAGCCCAGGAAGTTCAAGACCAGCCTGGGCAACATAGTGAGATCCCATCTCCACAAAAAATACAAAAACCAGCTGCGCATGGTGGCGGGCACCTGTGGTCCCAGCTGCTCAGGAGGCCATGGCAGGAGAATCACTTGAGCTAGAGAGGTGGAAGCTGCAGTAAGTTATGATCACACCACTGCACTCCAGCCTGGGCAACAGAGCAAAATACTGTCTCAAATAAATAAAGTGGATTTTGTGGTATGTGAATTTTGTCTCAGTTTTTAAAAGACCTGGAAAGCAACGAAACAGAAAGAACAAGCACAGACTCCGACTTGCTCCCCAGGCCCCAATGTGACAGCACAGCCCAGGGTCCCTGGAGCAGGTCAGACTGAGGATAGGGGTGCGCCGCCTAGGGACCTGCTGGGCACTACCCCACCCACCTCCGGCGCCCCGCGCCCAGTCCTGGGCTCCCGTGGCCCGGTCTCTCCCTCCGCCTCTGTCCAGGGTGCACCCCTCACTGACCAGTCCCGCAGCAACGCTGACCGAGGGCTCCGTGTAAGCCTGGCTGAATGCCCGCTGCCTCAGCCCTCACAGGAACCCTGCCCTGCATTACAGGGAGGGAAACAGGCTACGGGGATGGGAGGGGCTCCTCCTGGAGGGGGCTGGGGGGCAGACAGAAGAGGCTTCCAGGTGGTCGTGGGGCACAGGTGGCACTTCCTAGACACTGCCAGTCTTTGGTGGCTGGGAGAAGGGCCCCTCAGCAGGCCTGGTCACTAGAGTGCCCCGTGCAGAGCTGAACTGTGTCCCCAAAATGGTGTGATCATGTCCTGGCACCTGGAAGCTGTGTGTGTGGCCTTATTTGGGAATCCGGTCCTTGCAGATGTGAGTGGTTAAAAAAAAAAAGGCCGCACTGGCCGAGCGGGTGTTCTGTGCCTGGTGTCCTCATTCGAAGGAGACACAGTCCCGGGGAGGAGGCCACGGGACACAGAAGCAGAGATCCCAGCCCTGCGGCCACAGCCAGGGGATGCCCGGATCCCCCAGATGCTGGAGGGGCCGGAAGGAGCGCGGCCCTGTCCGCACCTTGACTTTGGACTTCCAGGCTCCAGGGCTGGGAGGGGACAGAGTCCTGGCCTTTGAAGCTGTGTGTGCTGCTTCCTCACAGCAGCCCTGGGAGGCTGGCACGGCTCCCCAGGAAACTGGGCTCCCTTCTGTCAGGGTTCCGGCCAGGTGCCTGGTATGGGCCCTGGGGCCGCCGCCTCAGTGTCTTCTGGTGCTGCAGCCGGGCAGGGCCGAACCCTGGCGCACAGCTTCCTGCTGAGTCTCCCTCTCTAAGGCTGTCTGTGGGCGGCTCTGCCGGCCCCTCCTGCACCTGCCCAGGCCCTGGGCGGAGGCTCCTCCTCCCGGGGGGGCTGTGGCCTCAGCACAGACCAGGGGACAGAAGGTGGCTCTTCTTGGCCTTGGCTGGGTGTGAACCAAAGACTTCCTGTAAGAAATCCCCCTCTCCCTCTCCCTCCTTCGCTCCCTCATCTCTCTCCCTCTTTTTTGCCCAATGCCAGTAACTGTGGGGGCTCCGTGGTGCCGGATGGGCCGAGGCATCTGACCCCTGCTGAAACGCATCTGCAGAACAGTCAATGCTGCCTGCCTCCCTGCCTGAAAGCAGCCAGAGTTTGCAAAGCGCTTTTCTGAGCCGTGAGCTCATCCTGAGCTTCCCAGAAGCCCCCGGGCTGCCAGGCAGAGAGTGTTGTTACCGGACAGCTGCGTTCCCAATGGTCCCTGCAGCCCCATGGGGACCCGGGATGGATGCCCGGCAGGTGGAGAGGTCCTCACAGGACAGGTGGTGGGCAAGGGGGCAGCACCTGGGGAATGGGGATGGGCTGTGGGTGCCGAGAGCCCCAGGAGCCCAGCAGAGACGCAAGGGATCTGGGTGATGTCAGGAAGGGTGAAGGAGCACCCCCACCCCAGGAACAGGCGGCAAGGGATGGGCGAGGGGCAGTGAGGCGAGCAGGACCTGGGGAATGTCCTGTGTAGGGGCACAGGCTGGGGAGAGGCTTGGGCTGGGGTGCGGTTGGGGGAGGCTGGCACTGGGGTGCAGTGGAGGAGAGGCTCGGGCTGGGGTACAGTGGGGGGAGGCTCAGGCTGGGGTGAGGCTCGGGCCGGGGTGCGGTGGGGGGAGGCTCGGGCCGGGGTGCGGTGGGGGGAGGCTCGGGCCGGGGTGCGGTGGGGGGAGGCTCGGGCCGGGGTGCGGTGAGGGGAGGCTCGGGCCGGGGTGCGGTTGGGGGAGGCTGGCACTGGGGTGCAGTGGAGGAGAGGCTCGGGCTGGGGTGCAGTGGGGGGAGGCTCGGGCTGGGGGGGTGAGGCTCGGGCTGGGGTGCGGTGGGGGGAGGTTCGGGCTGGGGTGCGGTGGGGGGAGGCTCGGGCTGGGGTGCGGTGGGGGGAGGCTCGGGCTGGGGTGCGGTGGGGGGAGGCTCGGGCTGGGGTGCAGTGGGGGGAGGCTCGGGCTGGGGTGCAGTGGGGGGAGGCTCGGGCTGGGGTGCAGTGGGGGGAGGCTCAGGCTGGGGGGAGGCTCGGGCTGGGGTGCGGTGGGGGGAGGCTCGGGCTGGGGTGCGGTGGGGGGAGGCTCGGGCTGGGGTGCGGTGGGGGGAGGCTCGGGCTGGGGTGCAGTGGGGGGAGGCTCAGGCTGGGGGGAGGCTCGGGCTGGGGTGCGGTGGGGGGAGGTTCGGGCTGGGGTGCGGTGGGGGGAGGCTCGGGCTGGGGTGCGGTGGGGGGAGGCTCGGGCTGGGGTGCGGTGGGGGGAGGCTCGGGCTGGGGTGCAGTGGGGGGAGGCTCGGGCTGGGGTGCAGTGGGGGGAGGCTCAGGCTGGGGGGAGGCTCGGGCTGGGGTGCGGTGGGGGGAGGCTCGGGCTGGGGTGCGGTGGGGGGAGGCTCGGGCTGGGGTGCGGTGGGGGGAGGCTCGGGCTGGGGTGCGGTGGGGGGAGGCTCGGGCTGGGGTGCAGTGGGGGGAGGCTCAGGCTGGGGGGAGGCTCGGGCTGGGGTGCGGTGGGGGGAGGCTCGGGCTGGGGTGTGGTGGGGAGGAGACCAGAAGAGGCACCAGGGGCTGCCCTGGGGGACACTCACCCCACACAGAAACAGGTGCCGGAGAGCCTGGGGGTGGGGCCGCGAGGCTGGGCTGGGCCTGGAGCAGGGGACCCACGGGAGGCTCTGGGCACAGAGGGTGGGCTGCAGCAGCAAGGGCCCCTTATCCTCGAGCAGGAACCCAACACCCCCCAGCCAGACCCAGTCATGCCTGGAACACACAGACATGGACCTGCATATGGACGCTGCTAACAGCGATTCACAGCTGCTGTCAACCCATACCTACTCCTGGGTATGAGCCCAAGAGAAACGAAAACGTGTCCACTGGGAAGTTTGCACCCGTGCTCACGGCGGCACAACTCACGACGGCCACGGGTGGAAGCAGCACAAGCGTCCATCACGGACACACAGACAGACACAGTGGGGCCCTCCACGCCTCCATCACAGACAGACACAGTGGGGCCCTCCACGCCTCCATCACAGACGGACACAGTGGGGCCCTCCACGCCTCCATCACAGACAGACACAGTTGGTCCTCCACGCCTCCATCACGGACAGACACAGTGGGGCCCTCCACGCCTCCATCACGGACAGACACAGTTGGTCCTCCACGCCTCCATCACGGACAGACACAGTGGGGCCCTCCATGCGTCCATCACGGACAGACACAGTGGGTCCTCCACGCGTCCATCACAGACAGACACAGTGGGGCCCTCCACAGGTCCATCACGGACACATGGACAGACACAGTGGGCCCCTCCACGCGTCCATCACAGACAGACACTGTGGTACCTGGTACCTCCACGCGTCTATCATGAACAAAAACAGTGGGTCCTCCACGCGTCCATCATGAACAAAAACAGTGGGTCCTGCATGCGTCCATCATGGACAAACAAGGTGGGGCCCCTTCATGTGCCGGAACACGGCTCAGCCATAATCAGGAGCCAGGCTCTGACCCAGCCATAGCTCGGATGTACCTTGAGGACATCACACTCAGTGAGAGACGCCAGAGGCAGGAGGCCATGCAGCGTGTGATCCCATTTCTATGAAATGTGCAGGACAGGCCAAGCCACAGAGACGGGAAGGGGATGCGTGGGCGCCGGGGCAGGGGAGGGATGGGGAGTGACAGCTGACGGGGACAGGGCCTCCTCTAGGGGGACAATGATCTGGAATTAGAATTACATGGTGATGGCTGAACAGCTCTGGACTTTGTAACAGCCACAGCATCGTTCACTTAGAAATGGGGACTTTTCTGTCACGTGAATTGAGTCTCACGTGACAGAAAAGGGGCGGGGCGTGGTGGCTCGCACCTGTAATCCCGACACTTTGGGAGGCCGAGGCGGATGGATCACCTGAGATCACGAGTTTGAGACCACCCTGGCCAACGTGGTGAAACCCCGTCTCTACTAAAAATACAAAAATCAGCTGGGCGCGGTGGCGCACACCTGTAATCCCAGCTACTCGGGAGGCTGAGGCAGGAGAATCACTTGAACCAGGCAAGCAGAGGCTGCAGTGAGCTGAGATCGTGCCATTGCACTCCAGCCTGGGAGACAGAGTGAGACTTTGTCTCAAAAATAAATAAATATGGTGCGCGTCTGTAATCCCAGCTACTCAGGAGGCTGAGACAGGAGAATCGCTTGAACCTGGGAGGCAGAGTTTGCCATGAGCCGAGATAGATCACACCATTGCACTCCAGCTTAGACACCAAAAGCAAAACTCCATCTCAAAACAAAACAAAAAACTAGAGAAAAACAGAGACAGAAAAGAAAGAAAGAAAATAAAGAAGAAATGCAGGCCGGGCGCGGTGGCTCACGCCTGTAATCCCAATGCTTTGGGAGGCTGAGGTGGGTGGATCACAAGGTCAGGAGATTGAGACCAGCCTGGCTAACACGGTGAAACCCCGTGTCCACTAAAAAACACAAAAAATTAGCTGGGCGTGGTGGTGGGCACCTGTAGTCCCAGCTACTCGGGAGGCTGAGGCGGGAGAATGGCATGAACCCAGGAGGCGTTGGTTGCAGTGAGCCGAGGTCACGCCACTGCACTCCAGCCTGGGCGACAGAGCGAGATTTCATCTCAAAAAAAAAAAAAAAGCAGCAGCAACACAGAGCCACGTGTCCACAGAACCACGGTTCACCTGCACACCGCGGCAGGGGGCCCCACCAGGACACACGGGGCTGAGCCATCACCCACCAGGGACATTGAGCCTGATGGCTTCGCGCCAACCTGGAGACGGAAGGCTGAGCAGAAGTGAGGGGGGCCCTTCCTCCGGGCCAGGGTGGCTGGAGGGCCGGGCAAGGCACACACGTGACACCGCGGGAGCCCCGCAGCCCACGGTGGATGCCAGCAGCGGCATCCTGGCGCAGCGTGAGCCCCAGGGGTGGGGGTGGGGGTGGCCAGGGAGCAGGCAGAGAGCGGGGAAGGGGTGGGGGTCCCACACAGACCCAGCCGTCAGCAGGAGAAGGCACACGGAAAACAGACGGACGCAGCAGGGATGCCCGCAGGCAGCTCCCACGGGCAGAGGCTGCTGACCCCGCCTTGGGCAGGACCAGCCTCTGCTCAGCCTTGGGTCTTCCCCCAGGCTGAGAGAAACAGGAAATGGATGGTGAAGGAACCCCGTCCCCGCCAAGCGGCCAAAGTTACCAGCATCAGCACAACACGCGCAACGCCAGGCACTCCGGTCCACGCCGCACTGTACATGGTGCCGTCTGAGGGATTCCTCCATCCAGTCAGGAGACAACCCCAGACAAAACCAACGGAGAGGCACTCTGGAGAAGACACACCCTGGAGAAGACACACCCTGGAGAAGACGCACCCCGGAGAAGACGCACCCCGGAGAAGAGGCGCCCCGGAGAAGAGGCACTCCGGAGAAGACGCGCCCCGGAGAACACGCGCCCCGGAGAAGAGGCACCCTGGAGAACTGCCTCTTCGGGGGCAAGCGCAGAGGCTGCTGACTCCCCCGGTCCAACAAGCTCTTAGTTTTTGCAATTTTTTTGTAATTTTTTTTTTTTTAGACAGAGTCTTGCTCTGTCACCCAGGCTCGAATGCAGTGGCGCAATCTCGGCTCCCTGCAACCTCTGCTTCCCGAGTTCAAGTGATTCTCCTGCCTCAGCCTCCTGAGTAGCTGGGATTACAGGTGCCCGCCACCATGCTCAGCTAATTTTTGTATTTGTAGTAGAGACGGGGTTTCGCCACGTTGGCCAGGATGGTCTCAAACTCCTAAGCTCAGGTGATCTGCCCGCCTTGGCCCCCCAAAGTGCTGGGGTTACAAGCTTGAGCACTGCGCCTGACCTGTAAATCTAATTTTTAATTTTGTATAGAGATGAGGTCTCATTATGTTGCCCAGGCTGGATCCACGTGTCCTTCATGGACAAACACAGTGGGCCCCTCCACGCGTCCATCACGGACAAACACAGTGGGGCCCTCCACGCATCCATCACGGACACACGGACAAACACAATGGGCCTCCCACTGGGAACTCCCAGACTCAAGCGATCCTCATGCCTCAGTCAAATAGATGGGACCCAAATACTGGGACTACAGGCTTGCACCACCATGCCCGACTAATTTTTTCTATTTTTTATACAGATAGGGTCTCACTATGTTGCGCAGGCTGGTCTCAAACCCCTGGGCTCAAACAATCCTCCCGCCTTGGCCTCCCAAAGTGCTGGGATCACAGGCGTGAGCCACCGTGCCCAGTCCTGACTCAAACATGACCTCCTGCATTCCCAGGGGCAGAATCTCCCAGGCACAGTGGCCCTACTCGGAGTCTGTGAAGTGAAGACCACCAGGTGAGCCATGATCAACCCTCCCCTCAATGACCTCCCTCACGATCAACCCTCCCCTCAATGGCCTCCCTCCTCATGATCAACCCTCACTCAGTGACCTCCCTCACGATCAACCCTCCCTCAATGACCTCCCTCCCCATGATCAACCCTCCCTCAATGACCTCCCTCCCCAAGATCAAACCTCCCCTCAATGACATCCCTCCCCACGATCAACCCTCCCTCAATGACCTCCCTCCCCACGATCAACCCTCACTCAATGACCTCCTTCCCCAAGATCAACCCTCACTCAATGACCTCCTTCCCCAAGATCAACCCTCCCCTCAATGACCTCCTTCCCCAAGATCAACCCTCCCTCAATGACCTCCTTCCCCATGATCAACCCTCCCTCAATGACCTCACTCACGATCAACCCTCCCCTCAATGGCCTCCCTCCCCATGATCAACCCTCCCTCAATGACCTCCCTCACAATCAACCCTCCCCTCAATGGCCTCCTTCCCCATGATCAACCCTCACTCAATGACCTCCTTCCCCAAGATCAACCCTCCCCTCAATGACATCCCTCCCCACGATCAACCCTCCCCTCAATGGCCTCCCTCCCCATGATCAACCCTCCCTCAATGACCTCCCTCACGATCAACCCTCCCCTCAATGGCCTCCCTCCCCACAATCAACCCTCCCTCAATGACCTCCCTCACGATCAACCCTCCCCTCAGTGGCCTCCTTCCCCATGATCAACCCTCACTCAATGACCTCCTTCCCCAAGATCAACCCTCCCCTCAATGACCTCCTTCCCCAAGATCAACCCTCACTCAATGACCTCCTTCCCCACGATCAACCCTCACTCAATGACCTCCTTCCCCAAGATCAACCCTCCCCTCAATGACCTCCCTCCCCATGATCAACCCTCACTCAATGACCTCCTTCCCCAAGATCAACCCTCCCCTCAATGACCTCCCTCCCCATGATCAACCCTCACTCAATGACCTCCCTCATGATCAACCCTCCCTCAATGACCTCCCTCACGATCAACCCTCCCCTCAATGACCTCCCTCCCCACGATCAATCCTCACTCAATGACCTCCCTCCTCATGATCAACCCTCCCTTAATGACCTCCCTCACGATCAACCCTCCCCTCAATGGCCTCCCTCCTCATGATCAACCCTCCCTCAATGACCTCCCTCACGATCAACCCTCCCCTCATGGCCTCCCTCCCCACAATCAACCCTCCCTCAATGACCTCCCTCCCCACGATCAACCCTCCCCTCAGTGGCCTCCTTCCCCATGATCAACCCTCACTCAATGACCTCCTTCCCCAAGATCAACCCTCCCCTCAATGACCTCCTTCCCCAAGATCAACCCTCACTCAATGACCTCCTTCCCCACGATCAACCCTCACTCAATGACCTCCTTCCCCAAGATCAACCCTCCCCTCAATGACCTCCCTCCCCATGATCAACCCTCACTCAATGACCTCCTTCCCCAAGATCAACCCTCCCCTCAATGACCTCCCTCCCCATGATCAACCCTCACTCAATGACCTCCCTCATGATCAACCCTCCCTCAATGACCTCCCTCACGATCAACCCTCCCCTCAATGACCTCCCTCCCCACAATCAATCTGCCCCTCAGTGGCCTCCCTCCCCAGGCCGTGAAGGCTCTCCAGCAGAACCAACAGTGCTGCGGAGTCCACTGGCCCCAGGCACTGCCCGGGTCCACGGCTCATCTGCTTTCTCCTATTGCTCTGGCTGCCAAGAAACTCAGGGCTCAGGTGTATCAATAGTTACCAGGCGGATCGCCTGAGGTCAGGAGTTCGAGACCAGCCTGGCCAATATGGTGAAACCCCGTCTCTACTAAAAATACAAAAATTAGCCAGGCGTGGTGGCGCACACCTATAATCCCAGCTACTCGGGAGGCTGAGGCAGAAGAATGGCTCACACTTGGGAGGCAGAGGTTGCAGTGAGCCGAGATTGCACCACTGCACTCCAGCCTGGGTGACAGAGCGAGACTCCGTCTCAAAAAACAATAGGCCAGGTGCGGTGGCTCATGCCTGTAATCCCAGCACTTTGGGAGACGGGCAGATCACCTGAGGTCAGGAGTTCGAGACCATCCTGGCCAACATGGCGAAATCCCATCTCTACTAAAAATATAAAAATTAGCCGGGCGTGGTGGTGGGTGCCTGTAGTCCCAGCTACTTGGTAGGCTGAGGCAGGAGAATCGCTTGAACCCGCCAGGCAGAGGTTGCAGTTACCCAAGATGGCGCCACTACACTCCAGCCTGGGCAAGAGTAAGAGTCGGTCTCCAGAAAAAAAAGTCATGACTAGCTGTCTCGTTATGGCCTGTGGGGTTTTACATTCACCCTCACTCCCAGCCCAGGAACAGGTTCTCCCTACCAATCCCTCCAGGTTTATACAACAGCAGGAAACATTTGCAGGGAATGCACACATGCCACAGGTCACACGATGGCTTTGAACGGTGCCTCCGTTTCCCCTCGCTCCCGTGAAAAGCTACTGTCAACCTCATGGCTCCAACAAGCTGAATATGGTGGCTCACGCCTGTAATCCCCATGCTTTGGTAGGCTCAGGCAGGAGAATCGCTTGAGCCCAGAAGTTTGAGACCAGCCTAGGCAACACAGTGAGACCTCATTTCTACAAAACATAAAAAATTATCTGGGTGTGGTGGTGTGTCCTTATGGTCCCAGCTACTGGGGAAGCTGAGGTGGGAGCTTGAGCCCAGGAGGTGGAGGCTGCAGTGAGCCGAGATTGCACCGCTGCACTCCAGGCTGAACAACAGAGCCAGACCCTGTCTCTAAAAATAAAAATTAAAAAAATATATAAATGAAACACACACTTATCCTCTCACAGTCTGGAGGGCAGAACTTGTAACATCAAGGGTGGGCAGGGCAGGTCCCTCCCGGGGGCTCCAGGGGAAAACCCAGTTCCTGCCTTTCCAGTGTCCAGAGGCACCCGCATCCCTTGGCTTGGGGCCCCTTCTTCCCCCTTCACGGCCAGAGCGCAGGCTCTTCCCGTCTCTCTCTGGCTCTCACCCTCCCGCCTCCTCTCATGAGGGCCCTGTGAGGACACTGGGTCTCCAGGTCACCCAGGAAGCTCTCCCGTCTCGGGTCCATCACTCAGTCCCATCTGCAGGTCCCTGTGAGGACACTGGGCCTCCAGGTCACCCAGGAAGCTCTCCCGTCTTGGGTCCATCACTCAGTCCCATCTGCAGGTCCCGTCTGCCATGAGAGGCGACACGGCGGCAGGTCCTGGGGATCAGGACGGGGACGTCTTGGAGGCTGTAACCGTGTGGCCAGCACATTTCCTCAGGTCTGAGTCGGGAGCAGAGGCTTCCGTGGCTGGCTGGGCTGCGCTGGGGGGCACGGCGCAAAGGGCCTCGAACACCAGGCTCAGGTCTGGGCTCCTTCCTGGCTCCGCAGAACCACGCGGCCCAGCCCACAGGCCTGGGCTGACTCATACCCGTCCCGTCCCACACTTGGCACCGCGGGACCACGCATCCCGTCCCACACTCGACACCACAGAACCTTGCGGCCCAGCCCACAGGACTGAGCTGACCCACACCCGTCCCATCCCACACTCAGCACTGGGGGACCACGCGGCCCGGCCCACACTTGGCACCGGGGTCAGACTTCCTCCAAATGAAGTTCTGCTGCTTTAACAGGGAGATTTGGGTCCAAGCTGCCCCACATACGGACGCTGGAGCATGAGGCGGCTGTAGGCAGGGTGGGCAGGGAGCCGGGCGGGCGGTGCTCACAGAACCAGCACAGTGGCCCCGAGGGCTCCGGGCTGAACAGATGCAGCAGCAATTGTTCAGGAGGGGAGGAGCAGGAGAATTCATGAGACAGAGATGGAGACGGAGACAGAGACAGAGACATGGAGAGAGACAGAGACAGGGAGACAGAGACGCAGAGACATAGAGACATAGAGACAGAGGCAGAGAGGGAAACAGACGAAGACAGAGAGGGCGACAGAGACAGAGGCAGAGAGGGAAACAGACGAAGACAGAGAGGGCGACAGAGACAGAGAGGGAAACAGACACAGAGGCAGAGAGGGAGACAAAGAGACAGGTGGAGAGGGAGACAGAGAGACAGAGGCAGAGACAAAGAGACAGAGACAGAGAGGGAGACAGAGAGACAGAGACAGAGAGGGAGACAGAGAGACAGGGGCAGAGACAAGCAGAGAGGGAGACACAGACAGAGACAGAGAGGGAGACAGAGAGACAGAGGCGGAGATGGAGACAGAGACAGAGAGACAGAGACAGAGAGGGAGACAGAGACAAAGAGGGAGACAGAGACAGAGACTGAGAGGGAGACAGAGAGATGGAGCATAGAGGGAGACAGAGACAGAGGCAGAGAGAGAGACAGAGGCAGAGAGGAAGACAGAGGCAGAGAGGGAGGCAGAGACAGAGAGGGAGATAGGCAGAGAGAGATTGAGAGGGAGGGAGACAGAGAGAGAGACTAGGAGCAGGGGGAAGAGGGAGAGAGAGAGACAGAGAAAAGAAAGAGACAGGCCGGGCACGGTGGCTCACGCCTGTAATCCCAGCACTTTGGGAGGCTGAGGCGGGCGGATCACCACAGGTCAGGAGTTTGAGACCAGCCTGACCAACATGGAGAAACCCTGTCTCTACCAAAAAAAAAAAAAAAAAAATTAGCCAGGCATGGTGGTGCATGCCTGTGGTCTCAGCTGCTCGGGAGGCTGAGGCAGGAAAATCGCTTGAACCTGGGAAGCGGAGGTTGCAGTGAGCCAAGATCGTGCCATTGCACTCCAGCCTGAGCAACAAGAGCAAAACTCTGTCTCAAAAAAAAAAAAAAAGAAAGAAAGAAAGGAAAGAGAGAAGGAACACACAGAAAGAGGCAGAGAAGGGGTGAAAGAGAAGAAGGGGGCGGGGCAAGGACAGGCTGACCCAGGGCTGGGGCTGGTAGGAAGGCAGTGGCGGTGAGGAAGGAGCCACTGCCATCAGTCGCACCCCGGGCTCCTCCCCTGTGCGTCCCCTGAAGGGTGGGGCACAGATGCCAGCTCTGGACAGGCGCCTCCCCTGCCTCAGTTTCCTTCTGTGTCCGGCTGGCATGGCGCAGCAGCTTGCCACACCTTGGCCAGGACCAGATCACATGGGGGTCCAGGGCTACTGCGGGTGAGGACAGAGCCCCTGTGCGCACCTCGCTGACCTCAGCCCCAAGATGAGCAGGGGCGCCCCCCTCCCCTGAACACAGCTGGTAGGCCAATTTCCAGGCCACACACTGGGGGCTACAGGACAGGAATCCACCCTCTTCCCGTCCCAGGGCCCGGGAGTCTGAGGCCAAGGTGTCTCAGGGCCTTGCTCCCTCCCACAGCTCTGACCCACCTCTTCCAGCCCTGGGGCTCCAGGAGAAACTGACCTGTGGCCACACCGCCCCAGCCCCGGCCTCCAGCGTGGCGCCAGCTCCCAATCTCTCCTGTCTCTTCTGAGGACCCTTGTGCTGGATTTCAGAGCTACCTCATCTCATCTTGATCCCTACCCAATGACATCCAAAAAGACCCTACTTTCCAGGAAGGTCCCCTCACAGACTCTACTGGGGAGGCGGACTTGACGGACGCGGTCACCCCAGCACAGACTCAGGGTCCGGCTGGCTTTGCCCCGCTCTGCTACGGCCCTGAGTGGGGAAAACTGGGCCCGGGGTCCACCCGGCGAGCTGTTTGCAGGGCCTGGGTCTGGGTGAGCCCTGGGACCTGAATTGGCTCCATTCTGCTGCAGCCACACCTGACCGCTTCTCTCTGGATCTGGCCGGCTTGCGCCCATCCCCCCAACAGCTCTGAGGCCCAGGCAGATCTCACATGCCCATTACACAGGGGAAGCGGAGGCTTGGGGGAGCTGAGCACCAGGTGACCCTCGCTCCCCGGCAGGCCCTGGATGTGGTCCGGCCCAGCAGCAGCCCCTGGCCCCGGGTCCCACACGGAGGCTGTGGTATCCGAACCGTCCCAGGGAAGCCGATCTCTGTGGCACTGGGTGCTCCAGAGCTGCCGAGAGGAAGCTGGGGCACTGGGAACCCCTTGGGGAAGGCTGTGAGGGTGGGGGTGGGGTCCGCCTGATGCCGCAGTGGGAGGCTGTGAGGGTGGGGGTGGGGTCCGCCTGATGCCGAAGGGGGAGGCTGGGAGGGTGGGGGTGGGGTCCGCCTGATGCCGCAGTGGGAGGCTGGGAGCCTCCCCGCGACCCTGGGGAGAAGGAGGTGGAAAGTTCTGTTCCTTTGGTATGTGAGTTCCGTTTTCAGGTGGCTGCTAAGGGGTTGGGACTCCAATGTGCAGGGTGTCTGGACCCGCCTAGAGGGAGGGCCGTGGGGGCAAAGGCTGCCAAGGGCATCTCTCCCAGCACCGCCCTCCCCGCAACTCCCTCTGTGGCATTGCCCAGATGCTCGCAGGGACCCCAAGGGCTGGGCGGGGCTCACTGCTGACACGAAGGGCCAGTCACTGGCTCTTCCCCAAAACCAAGCCACATCTCTGGGCTCCTACTGCCCCACCGTAAACCCTGCGGCCGAGGGGCCAAGCCGAGGTCACTGAGTCCCAGGCAGGCCTGAGCGAGAGAGGTCGCAGGGCAGCTGGAGGGGCGGCCCAGACTCCACCCTGCCCCCCACGGCGCGGTGAGCTCCTGGGGCTCCTACCTGAGCAAAGTCGCAGGTCTTTGGTGGCAAGCTGGAGGCGGTGGCCACGGGGGCATAGCTGGTGTCTGGGCAGGGCTGGCTGCCGAGGAAGGAGGCGGAGCTCATGAACGGGCTGGAGGGAGATGGGGGGGGGGGAGGTGAGATGGGGTGCTCAACCCACTCCCTCAGTAACACACCTGCACCCCCATGGCCGCAGCCAGAGGCCCCTCGAGGCCCCACTGGAGTGTGCCCAGCCCGGAAGGACCCATGGCCCCGCTGCACATACAGAGGGGCCTCCAGGGGGGTGGTGGTCAAGCCTGGGGCTGCCCTCCCACCCCCACTGGACACAGCCCGGCAGAGCTCCTACGGAACAGCCGCCTGGTGGGCGGGGGGACATCCAGGGCCACCATCCCGCCCTCCCCGCTCCATCAGCAGGACTCGGCTAAGGGTTCATTCTGGCGATTCAGAACCCCAGCCTGGCCATCCCTCCCCCACACACAGGCCCCTTGACCCACACCTCACTCCCGCCTCGAAGGAGGAGAGCGCTACGGGCAGAAACCCAGGATCACCGTCCTCCAGGGAGGGCTCAGGTCGGAACCCCCCGCCCTGTCACCCTGAGGATGGCAAAGGACACAGCAAGGAGAAGGTCCTGGGGGCCCCCCGCCCAGGGGCGCCTCTCTCCAGATGATCCCAGGAGTAAAATGTGGCTGGCAGGGAGGCTTCTCTGCCCTTCCCCACTCCGGCCCCCTTGGCCAGCTCCTGCGCTTGGGAGAGGGGTGGCCGCCGTCCCCAGGGCCTCCTTCCCTCCCGCCAGGCTCCCCAGGCTCTCCCTCCAGAAGCTTCTCTCCAGCAGGGCTGGCAGCAGGTCCAGGTCTCTGCCCAGTGGGAGCCGGAGGCCTTGGGTTGGAGGCGGCCCTGGGCAGACCTGCTCCCAGGGCAGGGACCGCCTGGGGGCCACTCTCCTCCTGCATAGAAAGGTTTGCAAACACCAGCAGGAAAGAAGCATCCACTCCACTCCCGGGCCACAAACAGCTGCTCCACAATCTCCTGGAGTCTCCCAAGGCTCTGGCTATACCTGCTCCCAAGCCCTTTGCACAGCCTGCTCGACTGCTCGCCTGGCCAACTCCTACCCCCCCTGCAGAACCCAGCCCAGCTGCTGCCCTCTGTGGGAAAAGTGCCCTTCCCACCCTCCTTCACCCACCCCAGAAAACCTCCCGCCCCTTCCCACCCTCCTTCACCCCAGAAAACCTCCCGCCCCTTCCCACCCTCCTTCACCCCAGAAAACCTCCCGCCCCTTCCCACCCTCCTTCACCCCAGAAAACCTCCCGCCCCTTCCCACCCTCCTTCACCCACCCCAGAAAACCTCCCGCCCCTTCCCACCCTCCTTCACCCCAGAAAACCTCCCGCCCCTTCCCACCCTCCTTCACCCCAGAAAACCTCCCGCCCCTTCCCACCCTCCTTCACCCCAGAAAACCTCCCGCCCCTTCCCATCCTCCTTCACCCCAGAAAACCTCCCGCCCCTTCCCACCCTCCTTCACCCCAGAAAACCTCCCGCCCCTTCCCACCCTCCTTCACCCCAGAAAACCTCCCGCCCCTTCCCACCCTCCTTCACCCCAGAAAACCTCCCGCCCCTTCCCACCCTCCTTCACCCACCCCAGAAAACCTCCCGCCCCTTCCCACCCTCCTTCACCCCAGAAAACCTCCCGCCCCTTCCCACCCTCCTTCACCCCAGAAAACCTCCCGCCCCTTCCCATCCTCCTTCACCCCAGAAAACCTCCCGCCCCTTCCCACCCTCCTTCACCCCAGAAAACCTCCCGCCCCTTCCCACCCTCCTTCACCCCAGAAAACCTCCCGCCCCTTCCCACCCTCCTTCACCCCAGAAAACCTCCCGCCCCTTCCCACCCTCCTTCACCCCAGAAAACCTCCCGCCCCTTCCCACCCTCCTTCACCCCAGAAAACCTCCCGCCCCTTCCCACCCTCCTTCACCCCAGAAAACCTCCCGCCCCTTCCCACCCTCCTTCACCCCAGAAAACCTCCCGCCCCTTCCCACCCTCCTTCACCCCAGAAAACCTCCCGCCCCTTCCCACCCTCCTTCACCCCAGAAAACCTCCCGCCCCTTCCCACCCTCCTTCACCCCAGAAAACCTCCCGCCCCTTCCCACCCTCCTTCACCCCAGAAAACCTCCCGCCCCTTCCCACCCTCCTTCACCCCAGAAAACCTCCCGCCCCTTCCCACCCTCCTTCACCCCAGAAAACCTCCCGCCCCTTCCCACCCTCCTTCACCCCAGAAAACCTCCCGCCCCTTCCCATCCTGGTGTCACCTCCACAGGAGGCCCCCTGGCCCCTAGCCCACACCTCCCCGCCCTCTACCAAGCTGGGCTCTCGAGGAGAGGGAAGCCATGGATCACAAAACAGCGTTCCACAAACAGGGGTCTCAGCCTGGACCTGGCCCGTGGGGTGGAGCCTTCCAGGACCACGTGCACACCACCCTCCAAACCCCTCAACAAGACTTTGGGCCCTCGCGCCCTGCACCCAGAACTCCGTTTGTAACTGTGACTTCAGAATGAGCAAGCCTGGGGGCCAGGCGGGGAGGGTCCCGGTACTCACCGGCTGTCGCTGGAGAAGGCAGGGTATGGCGGCAGCGAGAAGGTGTTCCAGTAGGGGCAGTGCAGCATGGCGCTCTAGAAGAGACAGCGGGCATCAGTGAGTGGGAAGCAGAGGACCTGCGGTGCAGCCCGGCTAAGCCCTCCGGGCAGGGTGACAGGCCGAGAGGCTAGGGAGGCCCCGCAGTCAGGGTCCCATCCCGCCCCTGCTGGTATCTCCTGGGGAGTCATTTAACTGCCCCGTGCCTCAGTTTCCCCACCTGCACAAGACCCCACCCAAGGCTTGTGGTGTGGTCTGAAGGCACTGAACCACCCGCGTGAAGGGCTCAGCACAGGTCTTGCTCTACCAGCAGCCCCATGTGCAGGCCCGCAGCCCGGGAGTCTGCATCTCACACAAGACCTGGGGGTGCCGCTGGCCCCGGGACCCTGCTTGGAGGCCCCATTCTAGGAGGTGGAGGATCGGACCGTTTGCGTGAGGGAGACGCGCACCCGCTGCCTGTGGTGGAGGGTGGGTGTCGGGGGCTCCTCGGGCAGGGCCTGGGGCAGGCGAGGGCCTCACACCACCTCCAGGCCCCTCGGACAAGCTGATGTGCCCGGGAAGCTCAGGCTGCTGCGGGACGGGGCCCTGACTTCTCAGAAGCTGCACGGGGCTGGGGTGCGGGGAGCCTGCTTTGGGAAATGGTGACCAGTGGCCTGGAGGCTCAGCCCGAGGTCAGTGGAGGCGTGAGTGGCTCCAGGTTGGCCGAATCTCTGGTGGGTCTGACTCCAGGCCAGGCTTACCCAACACCCTCGCCAGGAGCCGATGTCCCCACCCCATGGTTCTCTGGGAAAACCTCACTATGCCTGCCCTTGGGAATGAGAGCGGCTTGAGGCACACGGCAGGCCCCAAAACCTGAGGATGGGGAGCACACGGGGCAGCAGCGGGCCCAAGGGCGGCAGCGGGCCCAGGGTCAGCACCTGCGGCTTCGGGGGCAGGGCTGTGGACACCTCGTGCCCTGCAGAATGGGCACCCCTCAGCAGGGCCCCCACCTGCACAGGGCCAACCTCACCTGCAGCAGAGAGACCCTGCCGTCACAGACGCCCCCACAGTCACGGGGGAGACCCTGCCGTCACGGATGCCCCCACGGTCACGGGGGAGACCCTGCCGTCACGGACGCCCCCACGGTCACGGGGGAGACCCTGCCGTCACGGACGCCCCCGTGGTCATGGGGGAGACACCACCAGCCGGGGGCATCATCCTGCTTATCCCAGCAGGACTGGGGGCCACGCTGGCTTCCAGAACAGGGTTGGGGGTTCGCCTGCTTCCCTGAGTCCCCCAGTGACCTCTCCCAGGCCCACGTGAGCCCTGCTCCTCTATGAGGCCCTGATGCAATTCCCTGGGGCTCGGCCACCTCTGCCCCTCATTCACCTCACACTGGCTGGGAACCAGCCCGGATGGCCGGGGGCCACTTTCTGTACCCGCAGGTGCTGGGTGGGGGATTCCAGGACCCCCGACAGCCTCGAGATAGGCAAAGCCCTCGGGGTGACCGCTGCCCCGCTCCTCCAGCTTTTGCATAAAATAAGTTTATCAGCAAAAGCCCACAGCTCCTCCCCTGCACAGAGGCCGGCAGCCTGGGCACCCTGAGCTCCTGCACCCGTGAGAAGACCCCGTGCAAGTGGCTTGCAGGAAGCCGGGCCACCAGCCACAGGGGCTCCAGAGCCCGGGTCTCCTGATCCTTCCCCTCCTCCTGCCCTTTTGGGAAGAGAGAAAGCCAGCCCTGGAGAGAAACAGGAACTTCCCAAGGCCATGTGGCACATCCGGAACATTCTGGAACAGAACTCTGACTCCAGACCAACCCAGCCTCCTCAGATGAGCTGGAGTCCGTCTCAGGCACACACGGCGCCTTGGGCCAGGCTGGGCAGGGCCACGGCCAGGGAACTGCAGCTGCAGGAAGGGGGCGGGGGGCTTGGGGTCGCAGGGCGGGAGGATCCAGGGGTCCCTGGCTCACCCAACATGCTCCACCTGTACCCAGGCCAGGCTAGGGGATGGGACGGGGGGAAAGTCCTGACTGCCTCTATCCCCCTAGTCTCCTCCCTCCCACAGCCCATGGCTCCTCTGAGACCTGCCATCCACACACACCCGAGTCCCACCCCACAGGGGTGCCATGGGCATGGCAGGCCAATCAGAGTCTTCCCTGGGACCTTCTCTGGCAGCCAGAGGGTGTGGCTTCACCTTTAGATGGCAGGTCCTAGCACATAATTGGTCCAGAGATGGGCACCTGACCCTGCCCAGACAATCAGAGCCTGCCTGGTGATTTTCTTTCCTTTCCTTATTTTGAGACGGAGTCTCACTCTGTCACCCAGGCTGAAGTGCAGTGGCACGATCGTGGCTCACTGCAACCTCCACCTCCCGAGTTCAAGCGATTCTCCTGTCTCAGCCTCATGCGTAGCTGGGATTACAGGCGCCCGCCACCACGCCCAGCTAACTTTTGTATTTTTAGTAGAGATGGGATTTCATCATGTTGGCCAGGCCGGTCTCGAACTCCTGACCCCAAGCAATGTGCCCACCTCGGCCTCCCAGAGTGCTGGGATTTCAGGCGTGAACCATTGTGCTGGCCGGTGTATTTTTATTTCTAATTGAATACTCTGGGCACTGGAAGAGGCTGGGCTGTGCGTGTGCGAACTCAGTCGACCCTGCCCAGAGGTGTCCATGACGTACCCGAATGTGACGGAACCCGGAACAGGGAGGGTGGGATGAGCCTCACACACGGGATGGGGAGCAAAGCCGGTTACGCGCACGGGTGCGCCCCGGCCTGAGCCCTGTGGCTGGTGTCCAGTGCCCCCGCCGGGTTCCAGCCCTGTCGCATTCCCCGACTGTCACTGCTAACACCTTCCTGCTCCCGCTCGGATCCTTGAAGATGGCTCCTCTGTCTCCACATCCCATAATTCGCTTAATTATTTCCCCACCGTAGAGCCTCTGGGGAGATTCCAGTTTCCTGCCACTATAAATAGTGCCGCTCTGTCTTCCCCTCCCTCCTGGATTAGTCCCCAGGGTGTGTTTCCGAGATAGAATTCTTGGATCGGAACAAGCTCCTGGCGGGTTTCGGGGGATGGAGCTGTTCCGGTGGGGATGTGGCTTGGCCAGTCCCCTTTATGGTGGCCCAGGAGGCTGACCGACGGCCGGTACTCGAGCTCCACCGGGGCAGCTGTGAGGATCCAGCCTCAACCCCAAGGGACTCAGGAACTAGGGAGGGGGACAGGAGGGGTCTGGGCCGCAACAGGGACCCTGCTACGAGAGGGGTACCCTGGCCCCGGCTCAGAGCCCCCTCTGGACGGTCAGAACATGGCAGGAAGCTGCCCAAAGCCCTCTGAGGATGGACTGCCGAGGGGTGTCTGTGATGTTCGCCCCACAGGCCAACCTGGGTGTTGGGCTAGGGAGTACCCAGGAGACCCTGGAGTCCTGGAGCAGGTCCTGCTGCTTGATAGGAGAGGGCAGCCCCTCTGTCTCCAGGTAAATCCCCAGGCAGGGCCGGGCGCGGTGGCTCACGCCTGTAATCCCAGCACTTTGGGAGGTCAAGGCAGGCGGGTCAACTGAGCCCGGGAGTTTGAGACCAGCGTGTCCAACGGGGCAAAACCTCATCTCTACGAGAAAATTTTAAAAATCTGCCGGGCATGGTGGCGCGTACCTGTGGTCCCAGCTACTCAGGAGGCTGAGGCAGGAGAATCACTAGCCCAGGAGGCAGAGGCTGCAGTGAGCCGAGATCGCACCACTGCACTTCCAGCCTGGGCAACAGAGTGAAACCGTGTTTTAAAAATAACAAAACAAAATAAAATAAAATGAAATAAAATAAAAATAAATATATATATACACGTTTATATATTTTTAATTTAAAAATTTTTTTTTTTCTTTTTGAGCCACAGTTTCGCTCTGTCACCCAGGCTGGAGTGCAGTGGTGCAATCTCTGCTCACTGCAGCCTCTGCCTCCCAGGTTCAAGCGATTCTCCTGCCTCAGCCTCCCAAGTAGCTGGGATTACAGACACCTGCCACCACGCCAGGCTAATTTTTTGTATTTTTAGTAGAGACAGGGTTTCACCATGTTGGCCAGGCTGGTCTCAAACTCCTGACCTCAAGTGATCTGCCCGCCTTGGCCTCTGAAAGTGCTAGGATTACAGGCGTGAGCCACCGTGCCAGGCCTATTTTTCATTTTTTTGAGATGGAGTCTCACTCTTGTCGCCCAGGCTAGAGTTCAGTGGCGCCGTCTCCACTCACTGCAGCCTCTGCCTCCTAGATTTAAGCGATTCTCCTGCCTCAGCCTCCCGAGTAGCTGGGATTACAGGCGTCCGCCACCACGCCTGGCTAAGTTTGGTATCTTTAGCAGAAGCGAGGTTTCACTATGTTGGCCAGGCTGGTCTTGAACTCGGGACCTCAGGTGATCTGCCCACCTCCACCTCCCAAAGTGCTGGGATTACAAGCACGAGCCACTTGGCCAGAAACATATTTTTTAAGTAATTCCCTCACTGACAGGTTCCTACAAGTAAAGTTGAGCCCCCCCTACAGCTGACGGCGAAGGAACTGGAAGCTCTGCAGCAGGGAGAATCTCCTCAAATGTGCTTCTTGAAAAGCTGGGGCCATGAGTAGCCTCCCATTCACATCCCCATGGGGACCCTTCTCCAGGGCCCACGGGGGCGGGTGGAGCCGGGCTCCGGGCCAGGAAGGTCAGGTGGAGATCACGCCGCGTCCACTGGGGCAGCATTCCGCACGACGTGACCCCGGGCACTCGGAGCGGGGCAAGTGCCCGTGGACCCCGTCGGGTGGGCCGGGGCCGGGGGTGGGGCTCACCTGCAGGGGCGGCGGGCTGTACAGGAGGCTGCCCGCCGGCGGGGGTTCATGCTGCGGGTAATCCCTGTCCATGGCGGGCCCCACTGCAAGCATCGGGCGGCAGGCGGGGTGGGGTCCTCGGCCGGGCAGCAGGCGGCGGGACTCCAGGACCCGGGGCCGCCGGGGCGTCTATCTGGGCTTCTCGCTCCGTGGTGGCGGCGGTGGCGGCAGCATCATGATCTGCAGAGGGAGACGGGGACGTCCTGAGAGTCCAACGGTGGTGGAGAGTGGTGCTCCCCGGCCGCCTCTCCCTCGGGCATGACCGGTCCCAGCCTGGGCTGCAGCTCCTGCTACCTCCTGGGCCGGAACCAAAAGGCGCTCCTTCCCCTCCCCACTCACCCCCACCCGCCATCAGCAGTGCCACCCAACTCCTTTGTGCTGCCCACAGCGCCTTTCCTGGCCTCCCCGGCCCCAACTACAACGATTAAGGTGGGCCCGACAGGGCTGCCCAGGTCACAGGGCAGCCGTAGGACCAGGCACCCAGACTGTGAGCAGTGGAGCTGCAGGCTGACTCCCCCACATCTGGCTTTGTCAGCAGCCGGTGTGAGACTGTGGAGGGAGAGTCCAACCCGGGCCCGGCACCCAGGGGAGCCCAGGGGACACTGGACCCAGCCCTGTCCCTCAGAGGCAGCAGGGGCTCCACAGTGAGGTCTCCCAAGGAGGGGGGTCAGGGGCCACGCAGAGCTGGAAGAGCACCCAGACCTCGTTTCAGGCTAATCACACACCAGCATCCCCACTGAGAACGTTCCTGGGCTACAGAGCCGAGCCCCACACCATCAGACGCCAGGGACAGCTCCCACGTGCCCCGCGGCCTCTGGCACACGGCCAGACGCCCGCCAGGCTGAGCCCCCACCAGGCCCTACCTGGCGAGTGCAGGGACCCAGGCTGGCCCGTGGTGGCAGGGAAAGCTTTCCAGGCGTCCGCCCAGCATGCTCACTGCCGAGGGCGGCAGGAAGGGGAGGCGGCGGCCACTCCCGGCCAAGCCCTGGAGTGAAGAAATCTCCGGGACTTCCAGTAATTGCCGTCCAGCCACACGCAGGCACTTGTGCAATCCCGTGGGGGAGAGGCACGTCTCTGCCCGGCGCTCCAGAGACAGTGGCCGGGCAACAGGGGCTGGGGGTCGGGACTCCTGTCCCAGAGACCAGATGGAGGTGGTCAGGCACAGTGGGGGTCACCCTGCCAGGCCGTCCCAACTGTCCGCGGCCTCTGCCTGCTCCCTGCAGTCAGGACGCTACAACCCACTGCCACCAGAGCTGGGACCCTTGGCAGCCCTTCCAGCTGCCCACGGGGACCTGCGACACCCTTGCCAGAACGGCCCTTTAGGGGAAGGGACAGGCCCGCTGGGATCTGGGGTCTTGGCCAATCCTTGTCAAAGATTCTGGGTCAGGCAGGATCAAAGCCTGGCTCCACCTTCTGAGTTGAATAACCTCAGACACCCAAGCTCCTCCAAGCCTCGGTATGTTCCTCTGGGAGACAGGTTCTCTGGGTAGAGCCTGGGACCCCCCGACCCCGGCCCCGTGTGCTGGTGGCCACAAACAGCTCTGCTGGGCCCAAGGCAGCTGCTGATACCGGGGTCCCCATCCAGGGGCCCACCAGTGCTAGGGGGTGGCCCACCCCCTGCCTTGGGGCTCAGCAGCCCCTCCCCTGCAGGGACTCCCCTCAGCTCCTGTCAGCACCCCTTCCTGCTGCAGGTTCCATCTCACGGCAGCCACAGCCCCAGAGCTACGCTGACCTTTTCCACACTCAGGGCGCTCCTCAGCTCTGAGGCCACACAGTCCTGAGCTGATGGGCAGCAGGGCCCAGGCCCCACGGTGGACGGAGCTTGGGGAGGGGGCACCTTGGGCAGCTCTGGGGCGACCCCATGACCGTCCTCGGGGTACACCATAGCTGAGGGACCCCTCCAGCAGCAGGGGCCCTGAGCTCGCCTGTGTCCGAGTCCCCTAGGCCAGCACGGTGCTCCTGGCAGCTCCTCCCTCCCTACGGTCTCTGAGCCCCCCACGTCTGTGGACGCCCCTTCCAGGCGGCAACCCCAGGAGGCTCAGGGGACCGGGTTCTTCAAGGGGAGGGCTTCACACATGGCATGTGACCTGGAGTCCATGCCTTGGGGACCTGGCAGGGTGTGGAGACCTGGACCGGGAGGGGATGGGGGCAGGAGAACAATGCGGACACCAGGCACAACCAACCAAGAGTCAGGGCCCAAAACCAGGAGGCGGAGGCGGAGGCGGATCCTCACACACGGCTGCTTGGCAGTCTGGGATTCCTCAAGAGGCTAACGCTGGAGTCACCACACCACCGAGCAATTCCACACCACACAGAAACGTGGCCATGCACGTCCACAGCAGCACCACTCACAACAGCCACCCGAGGAAGCAGCCCAGTGTCCACGGATAGGCGAGTGGACCAGCATGTGGCGTGGCCCATCCACGTGCCAGAACACGACACAGCCATGAACAGCAGCGAGGCCGACCTAGGCCACAGCGCAGACGCACCTTGAGGACGTCACGCTCTGTGAGAGACGCCAGGCACAGATGTGTGTGATCCCACTACTATGCACTGTCCAGGACGGGCCCATCCAGAGACAGAAGGGGATGCGTGGGTGCCGGGCTGGGGCGACCCTGCACCCGGGGCCCACTTCCAAGTCCCCCCACAACCCAACACTTCAGGCTGTGCCCACTCCTGAGAACGCCCACCCTCTGCAATCCCCCAGGACCCGCCACCCCTGAGAACGCCCACCCTCTGCAATCCCCCAGGACCCGCCACCCCTGAGAACGCCCACCCTCTGCAATCCCCCAGGACCCGCCACCCCTGAGAACGCCCACCCTCTGCAATCCCCCAGGACCCGCCACCCCTGAGAACGCCCACCCTCTGCAATCCCCCAGGACCCGCCACCCCTGAGAACGCCCACCCTCTGCAATCCCCCAGGACCCGCCACTCCTGAGAACGCCCACCCTCTGCAATCCCCCAGGACCCGCCACTCCTGAGAACGCCCACCCTCTGCAATCCCTCAGGACCCGCCACTCCTGAGAACGCCCACCCTCTGCAATCCCTTAGGACCCGCCACTCCTGAGAACGCCCACCCTCTGCAATCCCTCAGGACCCACAGCCCTGCCTTTCCGCCCACTGCCAGCCCCCCATCGCCTCCCACCCTGTCCTCGGCCATATCTCACAACCCCTGCTGCCCCGATCCCCAGGCCCTCCCGCAGCCCCCAGCCCCTAGCCCTGCCTGCAGACTCGGTCCTGTCCGAGGGCCCACGCCCCCAAGGGCTGGCTCCCACCCCATGGTCCTGAGCCCTCCGGACCCTTCCCCCATTGACTCCGCCGCCGTTTCTTGCAGCAGCTGTGACCACGCCATGTCTCTGGGGCATCCAGCTGCCCCAATCCCCAGGATAAACCCTAGTGGGACACTGGGTGGGGTCTTGGGGCCTGAGAACACCCCAACGCAGCCTCTGCCACGCAGCCCCGGAGACGCTCTCCCCACGCGGCCCCGGAGACCCTCTGCCACGCAGCCCCGGAGACGCTCTCCCCACGCGGCCCCGGAGACCCTCTCCCCACGCGGCCCCGGTGACACGGCCCACCCCGAGCCTCAGAGCCACGGGCCAGCCAAACGTCCAGCGGGCAGCAGAGCGTGTCCCCTGCCTGGTTTTATTTTTGGGCGCGAGTCCCATGACTGGAGGGATGCGTGGTGTGGGGGTTGGGGGGGCGGGGGTCACACGGTTCCCACCTTGGGAGGGGGCCCGCGCTTTATCAGCACGCTGACACCCAGAGGGGATGTGGCTTCCTTCTGAAATCAGGTCTTCAAGGGAGTCGTTGTAAAAGAGAACGATGAAGGTGCTGGTGGCCCAGACAGGACAACCACTGGGAAGGCAGAACCTCAGACAGGACCAAGATCCGGGAGAATCCGAGGAACCGGGTAACTGTGTCCGCCTCCCAGCTCTCTCCTGAGTCCGGGTAACTGCGTCCGCCTCCCAGCTCTCTCTCTTGAGTCCGGGTAACTGCATCTGCCTCCCAGCTCTCTCTCCTGAGTCCGGATAACTGTCCGCCTCCCAGCTCTCTCCTGAGTCCGGATAACTGTCCGCCTCCCAGCTCTCTCCTGAGTCCGGATAACTGTCCGCCTCCCAGCTCTCTCCTGAGTCTGGGTAACTGCATCTGCCTCCCGTCTCTCTCTCCTGAGTCCGGGTAACTGCGGCCGCCTCCCGCCTCTTTCTTCTGAGCCTGCTGAAGTCCCCGTCTTCCTGGCTGGACGCCCCAGGGTCTCACCCCACGCTGTGCAGCAACAGCTCAGCCTCCTGATGTTCAGAACTGGCCACTGTGCGGACC
>NW_003315962.1:300000-385657 GCF_000001405.40 Homo sapiens
TTGAAATTATTTCTCCTATTCAAGTATAATTATGTATTTTTTGACTGACGTCTTTCCAAACCCCCCTTCTAAATACCTTGGTATCTGGTGGTCACCATTTTACTTTCTACTTCCATGAGATTACGTTTTTTGAGGATCCGTGTGTAAGTAAAATTATGAAATAATCTTTCTAGGCCGGGTGCGGTGGCTTACATCTCTAATGCCAGCTCTTTGGGAGGCCGAGGCGGGCAGATCACAAAGTCAGGAGTTTGAGACCAGCCTGGCCACTGTGATGAAACCCCATCTACTAAAAATACAAAAAGTAGCTGGGCATGGTGGCGGGTGCCTGTAGTCCCAGCTGAGGCAGGAGAATCGCTTAAACCTGGGAGGCAGAGGTTGCAATAAGCTGAGATTGCACCACTGCACTCCAGCCTGGGCAACAGAGCAAGACTCTGTTGCAAAAATAATAATAATCTTGATGTGCCTGGCTTATTTCAGGTAATGTAATCCATCTGACTGAAAATAATAGAATTTTCTTTTTTGAAGGTGAGTAGTATTCCATTGTTTAAATATATCATACTTTTTTTTTTTTCTTTTTGAGTCAGAGTGTTTCTCTGTAGCCCAGGCTGGAGAGCAGGGGTGCAATCTCGGCTCACTGCAACCTCCCGCTAACTAACTTTTATATTTTTAGTAGAGATGAGTTTTCACCATATTGGCCAAGCTGGTCTTGAACTCCTGACCTCAAGTGATCCACCCGCCTCGGCCTCCCAAAGTGCTGAGATTACAGGCATGAGCCACTGTCCCCAGCCTACTATATTGTCTTTATTTACTCATTTGATGTTAAACTGTTGATTCTATATTTTGACAATTGTAAAGAGTGTTGCAAACAACATAGAAGTGCAAATTTTTTTTATTCTGATTGTTTTGGATATATATCCAATATTACAATTGCTGTATTATATGATAGTTTTAAATTTTTTGAGACTTCTCTATTTTTTATTTATTTATTTTTGTTTGTTTGTTTGTTTTGAGATGGAGTTTCACTCTTGTTGCCAGGCTGGAGTGCAATGGCATGATCTCGGCTTACCGCAACCTCTGCCTCCCAGGTTCAATCAATTCTCCTCCCTTAGCCTCCCGAGTAGCTGGGATTACAGGCATGCACTACCACGCTTGGCTAATTTTGTATTTTTAGTAGAGACAGGGTTTCTCCATGTTGGTCAGGCTGGTCTCGAGCTCCAGACCTCAGGTGATCCACTTGCCTCGGCCTCCCAAAGTGCTGGGATTACAGGCATGAGGCACCGTGCTCGGCCTATTTTATTTTTATAAAGGCTGTTCTCATTTACACTCAAACCAACAATATGCAAACATTCTTTTTCCTTTTTCTTTTTCTTTTTTTTTCAAGACGGAGTCTCGCTCTGTTGCCCAGGCTGGAGTGCAGTGGCAATCTCGGCTCACTGCAAGTTCCGCCTCCCAGGTTCACGCCATTCTCCTGCCTCAGCCTCCCGAGTAGCTGGGACTACAGGCACCCGCCACCACGCCTGGCTAATTTTTTGTATTTTTAGTAGAGATGGAATTTCACTATGTTAGCCAGGATGGTCTGGATCTCCTGACCACGTGATCCACCCACCTCAGCCTCCCAAAGTGCTGACATTACAGGCGTGAGCCACTACAGCCGGCCCCCAAGCATTCCTTTGTCTTCACACCTTTACTAATTTTTTTCTTTTTAATAAGAGTTATTCTAACAAGTGAGTTGATATCATAGTTTTTTCTCTTTTTTTTTTGCTTTTCCTGGTAATAATTGATACTGATTATTTTTTATATCTCTTGCCTATATGTCTTTTTTGAAAAATAAGTCTTTAATTCATTTTTAATATTATTTTTTATTCTATAATTGAGTTTCTTATATATTTTGATATTAAACCCTTGTCACATGTATAATTTGTACATATTTTCTCCCATTTTTTAGTTTTCTCATCCTGTTGATTGTATCAGATTCTGTGCAGCAACTTTTTAATTTGAAGTAATCTGACTCCTCTAATTTTTCTTTGGTTCCCTGGGATTCTGAGATTAAATTTTAGAAAGTCACTGCCCAGACCAATGTTATGGGGCTTTCACTGTATATTTTTTGTAGTAGTTTCATAGTTTCAAGCCTTACATTTAAATATCTAATTTACTTTAAGTTGATTTTTATATATGGTGTGAAATGAGGGTCTCATTTTATTGCTCTGCATGTGGCTATACAGTTTTCTCAACATCATTTATTGAAGACATTGTCATTTCCCTAAAAGATTGTCACCTGTTAATATAATCAGCTGTAAGTAAATGAATACATTTCTCATTTCTCTCTTCTGCTCCACTGGCCTATGTGTCTTTTTTTATTGCAGTACCATACTGTTTTGGTTACTATAGCTTTGTAGCATATTTCAAAGCCAGGTAGGGTAATACATTCAGCCTTTTTTGTTTTGTTTGATCGCTTTTGCTACTCAGGGTCTTCTGCAGCACCATATAAATTTTAGATAGATATTTTTAAATTCCTATGATGTTTGTCACTGGTATTTTGATAGAAGTTGCATTATATTTGTATATCATTTTGTATAATGTAGGTATTTAACAATATTAATGCCAATTCATAAATATTTTCATTTGTGTATTATTTATTACTTTAATATTCTTTAGATTATAATGTAAGGTGTTTCAACTTTTTGGTTACATTTATCTCAAAGTGTAGTTACTACAGTTATTGTAGATAGGATTGTTTTTTAATTTTATTTTGAGATAGTTAATTGTTTACAAAAATGCCACTGACTTTTGCATGTGGATTTTTTATTCTGTAAATTTAATGAATTTATTAGTTTCTAGTAGTTCTTAGTAAAGTCTTAGGCTTTCCTATACTTAAGATTATGTCTTCTACAAATAGTAATAATTCAACTTTTTTTTCCAATCTGGATGCCTTTGATTTTATTCTCTAATTTCTCTGTCTTGGACATTTCGTACTATGTTTAGCAAGACTGAAGAAAGTGGGCATCCTTGTCTTGTTCTAACTTTCAGAGTAAAAGCTTACAACTTTTCCCTGTTTAGTATGCTGTTTCCTGTGCACTTTTTGTTATATGTGGCATTTATTGGCTTCAGGTGCATTTTTCCTATACTTAATTTTTTCAGAGATTTATCATTAGGGAATGTGTTAAACTTTTGTTCTGCATCTATTTAAATGTTGAGTTGTGAAATCACAGCTAACTCCACATAAATACAAAACATCCTCAGAGACTACTATGAACATCTCCATGCATGCGAAGTAAAAAATTTACAGGAAATAGATAAACTGGATACACACAACCTCTCAAGATTGAACCAGAAAGAAGCAAACATCTTGAACACAGCAAAAATTAATAAAATGTATAATGAAATTATAAATTTAGCAATAGAAATTATACATTATATTATAGAATAGTAATAGAAATCATACATTAGTAATAGAAATATATACATTGGTAATAGAAAACCCGCGAACCATGAATAGCCCTAGATCAGATGAATTCACAACTAAATTCTACCACATATACAAAGATGAACCAGTACTAATCCTCTGAATGTACTCCAAAAATCAAGGTGGGATTTCTTCCTAACTATATAAAACCAGTATCACCTTGATATCAAAATCTAGTGAAGACACAACAACAACAAAAACTATAGGCCAATATTTTGGGTGATCATTAAAACAAAAGTTCTCCATAAAATACTAGCAAGCTGAGTTCATAATCAAATCAAAACGTTATTTTACCACAATCCTGGGAGATTTACTTCATGAATGCAAGGATGTTTCATCATATATAAGTCAATAAATGTGATTCATCAGGTAAAGATGATTAAAAGCTAACATGATTATCACAATAGATACAGAAAAGGCATTCAAAAAATCCAATACCTATAAAAATATTCTCAACAAACTAGGTATTAAAGAAACATCTCAAAATAGTAAAGCCATCTGTGACAAATCTGCAGCTGAAATCATGCTGAACAGGCAAAAGCTGGATGAACTCTCCATATGAATAAAAATAAGACAAGAATATCCACTCTTAACACTCGTATTCAACATAGTTCTGGAAGTCCTAGCTAGAGCAATTAAACAAGATAAAGAAATAAAAGAGATCTAAATAAGAAAAGAGAAAGTCAAATTATTCTCACAGATGATATAATTCTCTACCTGGGAAACTTTGGAGATGCCACAAAAAGACCCCTAAGCCTAAAAAATGACTTAAGCAAAGTCTCAGGATACAAAATTAACATACACAAATGAGTAGCATTTCTGTACATGAATAACATTCAAGCTGAGAACAAAATAAAAAACACAGTTCTGGTCGTCAGCAAAGCCTGAGTCCTGTCCTCTTGCTCTCCTCCCTGGACAGCATAAGCTTCACCACTCGCTCAACCTTCACCAATTACCAGTCCCTGGGCTCTGTCCAGGTGCCTGGCCAGTCAGCAGCACAGCCATCATCTATGCAGGCATGGGGGGTTCTGGTTCCAGGATCTCCGTGTCCTGCTTCACCAGCTTCAAGGCCCATGGGGTTCAGGGGCCTGGCTGCGGGGATAGCCAGGGGTCTGACAGGAATGGGAGGCATCCAGAACGAGAAGACCATGCAGACCCTGAACTACTGCCTGGCCTCCTACCTGGACAGAGTGAGGAGCCTGAGGACCAAGAACCGGAAGGTGGAGAGCAAAATCTGGGAGCACCTGGAGAAGATGGGACCTCAGGTCAGAGACAAGCCATTACTTCAAGACCATCAAGGACCTGAGGGCTCAGATCTTCACAAATACTGTGGACAATGCCCACATCGTTCTGCAGATCGACAGTGTCCGTTGTGGGGAAAAGAAAGAGAGATCAGATTGTTACTGTGTCTATGTAGAAAAGCAAGATAGAAGAAACTCCATTTTGATCTGTACTAAGAAAAATTGCTTCTGCTTTGAGATGCTGTTAACCTGTAACTTTAGCCCCAACCCTGTGCTCACAGAAACGTGCGTAATGAATCAAAGTTTAATGGATTTAGGGCTGTGCAGGATGTGCCTTGTTAACAATATGTTTGCAGGCAGTATGCTTGGTAAAAGTCATTGCCATTTTCCATTCTAAATTAACCAGGGACACAATGCACTGTGGAAAGCTGCAGGGACCTCTGCCCAAGAAAGCCTGGGTATTGTCCAAGGTTTCCCCCCACTGAGACAGCCTGAGATATGGCCTCATGGGAAAGGAAAGACCTCACCATCCCCCAGCCTGACACCCATAAAGGGTCTGTGCTGAGGATTAGTGAAAGAGGAAGGCCTCTTTGCAGTTGAGATTAGAAGAAGTCTTCTGTCTCCTGCTCATCCCTGGGAATAGAATGTCTCAGTGTAAAGCTGGCCATTCCCATTCATTCTCTTCTGAGATAGGAGACAACCGCCCTGTGGCTAGAGGCAAGATATGCTGGCAGCAGTACTGCTCTGTTGCTGTTTGCTATACTGAGATGTTTGGGTAAAGAGAAACATAAATCTAGCCTACGTGCACATCTGGACACAGTACCTTTCCTTGAACTTATTCATAATACAGATTCCTTTGCTCACATGTTTCCCTGCTGACCTTCTCCCCACCTGTTGCCCTGTTACACTCTCCTCGCTAAGATAGTAAAAATAATGATCAATAAATACTGAGGGAACTCAGAGGCTGGCGCCAGTGTGGGTCCTCTGTATGCTAAGCACTGGTCCCCTGGGCCCACTGTTCTTTCTCTGTACTTTGTCTCTGTGTCTTATTTCTTTTCTCAGTCTCTCATCCCACCTGACAAGAAATACCCACAGGTGTGGAGGGGCTGGCCCCCTTCAGTCCATCTTGCTGCTGATGACTTTAGACCCAAGTGTGAGACAGAGCTGGCCATGTGCCAGTCTGTGGAGAGCAACATCCATGGCTTTGCAAAGTCATTGATGACACCAATGTCACTCGGCTGCGGTTGGAGACAGAGATCAAGGTTCTCAGGGAGGAGCTGCTCTTTATGAAGAAGAACCACAAAGAGGAAGTAAAAGGACTACAAGCCAAGGTCGACAGCTCTGGGTTGACCAGGGAGGTAGTTGCCCCCAAAGCTCAGGACCTTGCCAAGATCATGGCAGACATCCAGGCCCAATACGACGAGGTAGCTCAGAAGAACCGAGAGGAGCTGGACAAGTACCAGTCTCAGCAGATTGAGGAGAGTATATAGTGGTCACCACGCAGTCCACCAAGGTTGTAGCTGCTGAGATGATGCTCACAGAGCTTAGATGTACAGTCCAGTCCTTGAAGATCGACCTGGACTCAATGAGAAATCTGAAGGCCAGCTTGGAGAACAGCCTGAGGGAGGTGGAGGCATGTTAAGCCCTGCAGATGGAGCAGATCAACAGGATCCTGCTGCACCTGGAGTCAGAGCTGGTACAGACCCTGGCAGAGGGGCAGTACCAGGCCCAGGAGTACAAGGCCCCGCTGAACATCAAAGTCAAGCAGGAGGCTGAGATCGCCACCTACCACCGCCTGCTGGAAGATGGCGAGGACTTCAATCTTGGTGATGTCCTGGACAGCAGCAACTCCAAGCAAACCATCCAAAAGACCACAACCCGCCAGATGGTGGATGGCAAAATGGTGTCTGAGACCAACAACACCAAAGTTCTCAGACATTAAGCCAGCAGAAGCAGGGTACCCTTTGGGGAGCAGGAGGCCAATAAAAAGTTCAGAGGTAAAAAATAAAAGAACAGAATTCTATTTACAATAGCCAAAAACAAAAAATAACATACTTAGGAATACATTAAACGAAGGAGGTAAAATATCGCTACAAAGAAAACACACTGCTGAAAGAAATCAGACAAAACACAAATAAATGGAGAAGCATTTCATGCTTATGAATTTGAAGATTTAATATAATTAAAATGTCCATGCCACTTAAAGCAACCTGCAGATTTTTATTCCTATCAAACTATCAGTGCCATTTTTATAGAAATAGGGAAAAAAGCTATTCTAAAATTTATATGGAAGAATAAAAAAAGCCAAAATAGCCAAGGCAACATTAAACAAACAAACAAAATAAAACCTGGAGGCCTCGAATTACCTGACTTCAAACTGTGCTACAAGCTACAGTAATCGGTATAACATGGTCGTGGTACAAAAATATACATACAGACTATATTGGTACATTTTTATGCTGCTAATAAAGACACACCTGAGACTGGGTAATTTATAAAAGAAAGGTTTAATTGACTCACAGTTCCATATGACTGGGGAGGCCTCACATTCATGATGGAAGCCAAAGGGAAAGCAAGACATGGCAGCAGGCAAGAGCAAGCATGTGCAGAAGAACTCCCTTTTATAAAACCATCAGATCTTAAAAGACTTATTCACGACCCAGAGAACAGCATGGGAAAAACCCACCCCCATGATTTAATCACCTCCCACCCAGACCCTCCAATGACATGTGGGGATTATTACAATTCAAGGTGAGATTTGGGTGGGGACACAGAGCCAAACCATGTGGAACAGAAGAGAGAGCCCTGAAATAAAGCTACACTCCTACAACCTACTTTTGACAAAGTCAACAGAAATAAAAAGAAAATAACTCCCTATCTAATAAATGATACTGGGAAAACTCGTTAGTCATATGCAGAAGAAGAAAAAAAACTCTTCCTCCCACCATATAAACAATATATCTCAATATAGTTTAAAGACTTAACTGTGAGACTTCAAGCTATTAAAACTCTAGAAGAACATGCAGAAAGTACTCTTCTAGACACAGGGCTCTAGAAAAAAAATTATAACTAACACCTTAGAAGTTAATGCAACAAAAATAAAAACATGTTGAGGTTGTGGAGAAAAGGGAATCTATATACACTGTTGGTGGAAATGCAAATTAATTCAGCCCCTGTAGAACACAGTTTGAAGATTTCTCAAATAGCTAAAAATAGAATAGCTATTTGGCCCATTAATCGAATTACTGGGTATATACCCAAAGAAAAAATTATTTTACCAAAAAGACACTGGCACTCACATGTTTACTGCAGCACTATTCACCATAAAAAAAGACAGAATTAAAGTAGGTACCCATGAATCTTAGATTCATGTTCTTTGTTAATTTGCTTAGAATAAAGGCCTTCTGCCAGCTTGGAGGACAGCCTGAGGGAGGTGGAAGCCCACTATGCCCTGCAGATGGAGCACCTCAATGGGATCCTGCTGCACCTGTAGTCAGAGTTGGCACAGGTCCAGGCCCAGGAGTACAAGGCCCTGCTCAACATCAAAGTCAAGCAGGCCCAGGAGTACAAGGCCCCGCTGAACATCAAAGTCAAGCAGGAGGCTGAGATCACCACCTACCGCCGCCTGCTGGAAGATGGCAAGGACTTCAATCTAGGTGATGCCCTGGACAGCAGCAACTCCATGCAAACCATCAAAAAGACCACCACCCGCCAGAGAATGGATGGCAAAGTGCTGTCTGAGACCAATGACACCAAATTGAGACATTAAGCCAGCAGAAGCAGGGTACTCTTTGGGGAGCAAGAGGCCAATAAAAACTTCAAAGGTCAAAAAAAAAAAAAAAAGAATAAAGGCCTTCTGCTGCATCCATGTTGCTGCAAAGAACATCTTTTTCTGTGGTTTCTTAGTATTGCACGGTATATACGTATTTCAGATACTACATGTTCTCACTTATAATTGGGTGCTAAACATTGGGTGAACATGGAAACAATAAATGCTGGGAGTTCTTAAAAAAACTGCCAAGACCAGCATTGAAAAACTACTTATCAGGTATGAGGTACACTACTTGGACAATGGAATTATTAAGTGCCCAAACTTCGACATCAGGCAGTATACTTATGTTACAAATCTGCCCATGTACCCTCATGAATCTAAAATAAAAATAATAAAATGCTTTGTGGTATAATGGCATGTTATATTTCTCCAGTTCTGGGTTAATAGTTGAAATTAGGAGTGAAAGACACAGAATTATGTCCGTTTTGGGTACAGAGGTGAATGTTTTTATACCTGGTCGCCCCACGTTTTATGACCTAACGTCTCTGAAAACCCTTGGTTTATAGCCCAAAAAGTGTCTTATCCCCAAGTATGCAGCTAAAATAAATGGCCACATCTTTATATTGTATTTATTAACTGTACACTAGATTATAATTTGTCACTCTACTCTTTTTGGGGAAAAAATGGTTTAATCACATTTCTCTTTTAGAATAAACCATTTTTGAAAATGTGAGGCTGTGAAAATCATGTTAAATTCCTGAATTAGGAAAATAATTTTTTTTCTTTTTTGTGGAGTCTAGCTCTGTCACCCAGGCTTGAGTCCAGTGGCGTGAACTCAGCTCACTGCAACCTCTGCCTCCCAGGTTCGAGCAATTCTTCTGCCTCAGCCCTCTGAGTAGCTGGGATTACAGGCACCTGCCACCATGCTCAGTTAATTTTTGTATTTTTAGTAGGGATGGGGTTTTGCCATGTTGGCCAGGCTGGTCTCAAACTCCTGACCTCAGGTGATCTGTCTGCCTTGGACTCCCAAAGTTCTGGAATTACAGGTGTGAGCCACTCCACCTGGCAAGAAAACATTTATTTTTAAGCATAAAAGTCTTATGGTCATAGACCAAAAATGACAAAGTACACGGTATGGGTTATTTATGACCACACTGCTGCAACCACTCTATCACAACCATTCTGGTGAAATAATAATAATAATAATAATGGATTAGAAGGTACTTTTAGAATATCTTTCTGATTCTATTGCAATGTTAAATTCTTGTCTTTATTATTTGTCATATAGAAGTCTGTACTTCAACAAAAGATGCCAAGAATTTCAAGTTAATATCCTCACACATATATTCTCACTAGAAGGGCACTGGTGTGTTTGCAATCAGGGTGGAGCATTTCTGGCTTTGCTTGTGCTACTTTGATTGTCTAAAATAGAAAGACAGGAAGTAAAGTGGAGTCAGCCATGACATATTGAGCTTCTACAGCAACAACATCTGAATTCTTGTGTTACGTCAACTAGAAGTAATGACAGTATTTTATTTTATTTTGTTTTATTTATTTATTTATTTAGAGACAGAGTTTCACTCTTGTTGCACAGGCTGGAGTGCAATGGTGCGATCTTGGCTCACCACAACCTCCACTTCCCAGGTTCAAGTGATTCTCCTGCCTCAGCCTCCTGAGTAGCTGAGATTACAGGCATGCACCACCACACCCGGCTAATTTTGTATTTTTAGTAGAGATGGGGTTTCTCCATGTTGGTCAGGCTGGTCTCAAACTCCCGACCTCAGGTTACCTGCCCACCTCGGCCTCCCAAAGTGTTGGGATTACAGGCACAAGCCACCACATCCGGCCTGTTATTTTACTATATTTATTTTTAAAATTGTAATTCATTTATCCTGAATATATCACTGGGCCCAGAACCTAGGTGATGTGACTCTCCTGCATTATCTCTGCCCATAAGTGGGATTATTAAATATACCTGGGCCTACATAGGTATACAGATGCTACAATGACTCATATACCTGGACACAGCCAAGAGAAGAGATTTTGACTCTCATAGGTTGGCTTACAACAATGGATAAGGTCCTGGGTCTCCTACTTGTACCAAAGTCAAAGAGAATAACAACATTCACACATATCATATAAATTCCTCAAGTGGCACCAAAAGTGTCAACAGGGCCAACCATGCTGAAGAGACTGTGACTCTCCTATGCACACCCAGCTGACTGTAAGGACTGTCACCCTTCCAGATGGACACAGACCACTGTGGAGGTTTTGAATGTCACACCAAGAGTGAGTCAAAGGTTGGAATTGTGACTCTCACACATGGATGTGGTCCACAGGTGGAATAATGACTCTTGGACCTCAGGTGGAATTGGGGCTCTCATGCAGGGATTCAGTCCAGCATTCAGACTGCTTTGCATTCTTGGACCCAACCCACAGGAGATACTGGCTCTCATACATAACCCGGGATATGTGCAGGATTGTAAATGTCATCCCTGGACCTTTCTGCGGGTGTAATTGTGACAGATATTTTTGCCTAGAATCTGAATGATTTGACTCTCCTGCCTGGGCCAAGCCCACAAATGTGATTGTGACATATACTCAGGCCAAGCACCTAGGTTATGTGACTCTCCTGCCTGAGCCCTGCCCTCAAGGGAATTGTGACATATCATTGAACCCAGCACCTAGGTGATGTGGCTCTCCTCTCCTGCCTGGGCCCTGCCTACAGAGAAAATTGTGACATATTCCTCGACCCAGCACTCAGATAATGTGACTCTCCTGCCTGTGCACTGCCTACACAGGGCATGGTGGCCTATCGCCAGGCCCATCAACCATGTGATGTGAATCTCCTCTCTGCCTGAGCCCTGCCCTAAGGATTGTAAAATATTGCTGGGCTCAGCACCCAGGTAATGTAACCTTCTTGCTTTAGCACTGCCCAAAGGAGAAATTGTGACATCTATCTGGGCCAATCTTCTAGGTGATGTGAATCTCCTCTCCTGCCCCCTCCCTGCTCTGGGACTATGACACATTACTGGACTCAGCACCTAGGCGATGTGACTCTCCTCTCCTGTCTAGGACCTGCCCAATTGGTGACTGTGACACATCACTGGGCCTAGCACCTAGGTAATGTGACTCCTCTTTTGCCTGGCCCCTGACCACAGGTTGCATTGTGACATATCACTGGGCCCAGCACCCAGATGTTACTCTTCTTCTGCCTGGGTTTGTTCACAGATGGGATTGTGACATGTGCCTGAGCCCAGCATCTAGGTGGTGTTAGTCTCCTCTCCTGCTTAATACCTGCCCTGGGTACCGGGCAAGGCAATATGTCACAATGCCCCCTGAGATCAGGGCCCAGGAAAAAAGTCACATCACCTGTGTGCTGTGCCCAGTGATGTGTCACAATGTCCCCTGGGGAATAGAGTTCAGGAAGGAGAGTCACATCACCTACATGCTGCATCTAGTGATATATCACTTTCCTGCCTAGGCTCTGCCCACAGAAGGCTTTGTGACAGATCTATGGGCCTGTAATCTAGGTCATTTCACTTATTTTGGGGGGACCTTATGCACAAAAGATTGTGACATATTTCTGGGCACAGTACACAGGTGAGGTGACACTCCTGCCTGGGCCTGGCCCACAGAAGGAATTATATCACTGCTTCCATCACCTAGGTGAGGTAACTCACCTCTCCTGCCTGGGCCCTGCCTACCGGAAGAATTGTGACATAACACTGGGCCCAGCACCTAGGTGATGTGACTCTTTTGCCTTGTTCCTTCCCACAGGTGAGAGTGCGACATACCTGGGCTCAACTCACAGCTGTGAAAATAACTCATTCTTGTACCCAGCCAATAGGAGAGATTTTGATTCTCATAGATACATTTAGGGCAACTGGTAAGGTCCTGGGTCTCTTACTTTTATGAAGATAACAGAGGATTATGACACTCACACATATCATATAAAGCCCTTGAGTGGTACAGAGAGTGTCAGAACATAGGAGCAGGGCACAGTGGCTCACACCTGTAATCCCAGCACTTTGGGAGGCTGAGGCGGGCAGATCACCTGAAGTCAGGAGTTTGAGACCAGCCTGGCCAACATGGTGAAACCCCGTCTCTACTAAAAATACAAAAATTAGCCAGGTGTGGTGGTGCATGACTGTAATCCCAGCTACTCGGGAAGTTGAGGCAGGAGAATTGCTTGAACCCGGGAGGCAGAGGTTGCAGTGAGCCGAGGTTGCGCCATTGCACTCCAGCCTGGGTGACAGAGCAAGAGTCCGTCTCAAAAAACAAAAACAAAAACACAGCACTCAGATGAGATTATGACTCTCATATTCACACTCAGCTGCCAGAATTGTCACCCTCAAACATGGACACAGCCCACTGGTGAGGTCCTGGATCTCACAGGAGTACACAGTTGGAATTGTGACTGTCATACGTAGGCCTGGCCACAGGTGTGACGCTGACTCATTTCTGGACACAGCACACAGGGACAATGATGACTTTCATACCTGAACCCAACCAATAGGAGAGATGTTGACTCTTGTACCTAGGACAATGAGTAAGATCCTGGCTCCATACCAGCACAAATTTCCAGAGCAGATAGCAACTGTCTTGCACACTGTATAAAGCCCTTGGGTTACACAGAGTTTCATAACATGGCCCAGCACACAGAAGCGATTGTGACTCTCATATGCACACCCAGCCAACAGTAAGGATTGTCACCCTCTATCATAAAGCCACCCCGCTGTCGAAGTTCTTAATCTCACACCTGGATTCAGTCAAAAGTTGAAATTGTGACTCTCCTACGTGAATGTTTTCCACAGTTGGATAATGACTCTCAGACCAGGATTCAGAACACTGGTGAGGCTGTGACTCCTTTACTGAAACACAGTCCCCTGCAGGCAGGATTGGGGATCTTATGCACAAATCCAGCTAACCCTTAAGACTGACTCATGTACTTGGACCAAACTCACAGGCATTGACTCTCATACCTGAAGCCAGGACATGTGTGGAATTGTTAAGCTCTTCTCTGGACCTTTCCACAGATGTGGTTGTGAGATATATCTTTGCCTAGTACCTGAGTGAGGTGCTTCTCCTGCCTGGGTCTGGCTCCTAAATAGGATTGTGAGATATACCTGGGCCCAAGCTCTCAGGTGATGTGACTCTCCTGCCTGGGCCCTGTCATAATGGGGGATTTTGCTATAATGCTGGACATAGCTAGGTGATGTGACTCTCCTGTCCTATCTGGGCTCTGCTCACAGGTGAGATTGTGACACATCGCTGAGCCCAGCACCCAGGTGATATAGCTCTGCTGCCTGGGCCCTGCCCACACAGGGCATTACGGTATATTGCCGGGCCAAACACCCAGTAATGTGACTCTTTTTCTGGGCCTTGTCCTCAGGGTGCATGGTGATATATCACTGGATCTAGCACACAGGTGATGTAAATCTCTTGCCTGGGTCTTGCCCGTAGGAGATATTGTAACATATCGCTGGGCTCAGCACTCAGGTGATATGCCTCTCCTGCCAGGGCTCTGCCCACAGTAGGGATTGTGACATATTACAGGGGCCGACACCTATGTGATGTGTCTCCTTTTCTCCCTTGGTCCTACCCTCAAAGAAGATTGTAACTTATTGCTGGGCCAAGCACCCAGGTGATGGGACACTTCTTCCTGGGCCCTGCCCACAGAGGAAATTGTAACATATTTCTGGGCCCAGAACCAAGGTGGTATAATTATTTTGCCTTAGCTTTGCCCACAAAAAGGATTGTGACATATTCCTGGCCCAGCATCCAGGTTATGTGGCTCTCTTGCCCTGTCTCTGCCCACATGTGGGATTGTGACATATCAGTGGGCCCAGAACCAAGGTGATATGAGTCTCCTGTCTGTGCTCTGCCCACAGGGGAGATTGTGACACATTGGTGGGCTCGGCATCCAAGTGATGTGAGTGTCTTGCTTGGATTTTACCCAAAGAGAGTATTGTGACACACCTGTGGATGTGACTTTTCTGCTTGATCCCTGCCCACATTTGAAATTGGGGCCTACACCTGTTTCCATCACCTAGGTGATGTAGCTCTCCTTCCTGGTCCCTGTCCAAAGGGAGGATTGTAACACACCTGCTTCCAGCACCTAGGTAATGTGACTTTCCTGCCTGGGCCCTGCCTCCAGGTAATTGTGACATATACCTGAACCCATCTTCTGAGTTGTGTTGCTCTTCCTCCTGGGTCCCACCCAGAGGGTAGATTGTGGCATGTACCTGGGTCCAGCACCTAGGTGATGTTACACTTTGCCTGGACCTAGAACACAAGAAAAGATTTTGACAGATTTCTTACCACAGCACCTAAGATATGTGACTCCGCTGCCTAGGCTAAAGCCACAAGTGGGATTACATAATACTGGGCCGAGTACTGAGGTGATTTGAGCCTTTTTTAGGTCAAGTTCTCAGGGGGACTGACATATACCTGGGCTCAGGAATTAAGGTGATGTGGCTGTCCTGCATGGGCCCAATCCACAGAGAACATTGTGACATATACCTGGGCCCAGACCATAGGTCATGCGACTCTCTCACCTAGGTCAAGGCCACAAATGGGATAGTGACATATAGTTGAACCAAGCACCTATGTGTTCTGACTCTCATGCCTGGCCAAAGTCACAAGGGGCATTGTGACATATACCTGGGCCCAGCACTTAGATGATGTGACTCTTTAGCCTGAGCCCACCCCACAGGGAGTATTGTGACACATACCTGGGCTCAACACCTATGTGAGGTGTACATCTAACCTGGGCCAAGCCAACAAAAGAGATTGTGACAATATACCAGGGCTAAGCACCTAGACAATGTGTCTCTCTTACCTGGGACCTGCCCATAGTGGGGATTGTGACACATACCTGGTACCTAGGCTATGTAACTCTTCTGCCTGGGCTGAGGCCATAGGTGGGATTGTGATGTAGAGCTAATTCCAGAACCTAGGTGATGTGAATCTCCAACATGAGCCCAAGCAACAGGAGGGATTGTGACACATACCTGGGCCCAGTACCTAGGTGATGTGGCTCTCTTGCTTGGGACCTGCCAAACAGGGGACTTTAATATACCTGGGCCCCACACCTAGGTGATGTGACTCTTCTGCTGGGCCTCGACCATAAGAGAGATTGCGATATATACATGGGCCCAGCCTTCAGGTGATGTAGCTCTTCTGCCTGAGCCAGGCTCACAGGGGGAATTGTAAGATTTAGCTGGACCCAGCTCACAGGCAATGATGACTCTCATACCTGGACCCAGTGAAGAGGAGACATTCTGACTCTCATAGCTAGCCTTAAGGAAATAGGTAAGGTCATGGATCTCATACTTGTACAAAAGTCACAGAGAGGTTTGTGACTCTCAAGCATATCACGTAAAACTCTCAGGTGGTAGAGTGTCATAACAGTGCCCATCACGCAAGTGAGACTGTGGCTCTCATGCACTCCCAGTTGAAAGTTAGGATTGTTACTCTTACACATGGACACAGCTCACTAGTGAGGTCCCCAATTTTATAGCCAAACATACTGGACAGTTGGAATTGTGACTCTTCTATGTGAATCTTGACACAGGTGGGATGGTCATTCATTTTTGGACCAAGCCCACAGGCATGATCATGAGTCTCATACCTGGACCCAGCCAATAAGAAACATTTTTGGCCAGGTGCGGTGGCTCATGCCTGTAATCCCAACACTTTGGGAGGATGAGGTGGGCTGATTACGAGGTCATGAGTTTGAGACAAGCCTGGCCAATATGATGAAACCCTATCTCTACTAAAAATACAAAAATTAGCCAGGCGTGGTGGCACACACCTGTAGTCCCTGTTACTTGGGAGACTGAGGCATAAGAATCTCTTGAACCCGGAAGGCGGAGTTTGCAGTGACCTGAAATCGCACCATCGCACTCCAGCCTGGGTAATAAAGCGAGACTCTGTCTTGAAAAAGAAAAAAAAAAAAGAAACATTTTGACTCTTCTGTTGGGCTTAAGGCCACAGGTAAGATCATGTGTCTATACCATCATGCAGGTCTCAGGGAAGATTGCAGCTCTCATGCATGCTGTATAAAGCACTTGGTTGGTACATAGAGTGTCATAAAAGAACCCAGCACACAGGAAAAATTGTGATTCTTGTATGCATACTCAACCAAATGTTAGAATTATCAGCCTCACACATGCACACAACCCACTGTTGAGGTTCTGAATCTCACACCCAGAAAAGTTGACAGTTGGAATTGTGACACTCATCCATGGATGGAGTCCACAGGTGTGATGGTTAATACTGAATGTCAACTTGATTGGATTGAAGGATACAAAGTATTTATCCTGGGAATTGAGAAAATAACAAATTATCCCATAACATTTACTAATTATCTGAAGATAGATCCTCAGAAAATATATTACTGGGTTAAATGATGTCTATGTAAACTGTTCACAGTTACAGCCAGATGACTTTCCAAAAGGGCTGTAGCAGGTCCATCGGCGCTGGCATTCTCTGATGCACCTGCTGCTCTGTATCTAAGCTCTCCTGCATATTACATTCTTTTAATTTTTGTTGTCAGTTTGTGTCTATATGGCAAATAAAATCTCATTGTCCCTTTCACTTTCAGTTTTTAAACTGACACGTTTGAGTCACCTTTCAGTTGTTTAAGACCTATTAAGATTTTCTCTTTTTTGAGTCATCTGCTCAGATCTTTGGCCCTGTGATGGGCATTCTCCCACCCTGGAGTTTTCCAGCATTTGCCCCTTTGCCAGTTCTGGGATTGTTGTAGTTATTTCTCCAGACTCCCTTTAATATTAAAGAAAAAAAAGCAATTGGCCGGGCGCGGTGGCTCACGCCTATAATCCCAGCACTTTGGGAGGCTAAGGTGGGCGGATCATGAAGTCAAGAGATCGAGACCATCCTGGCCAACATTGTGAAACCCTGTCTCTACTAAAAACACAAAACGTAGCTGGGCATGGCGGCGCTCGCCTGTAGTCCCAGCTATTGTGGAGCTTGAGGCAGGAGAATCACTTGAAGCCGGGAGGCAGAGACTGCGGTGAGCCAAGATCATGCCACTGCACTCCGGCCTGGTGACACGGTGAGACTCCATCTCAAAAAAAAAAAAAAGGCGGGGGGATTTGCATGGGGAGAATCCTATGGAGGACCAATAAAATCTCAGAGAAGTGAGCTCGACATAAAGCAAAGAAAATAGACTCGCTTTCAGAATTTTTGACATTTTTGCCTTTTTAGTAAATTATCAACACTTTGGAAATTATGTTTTATTTCAATATTTTTCTTTTCTTTGCAAAATAGGTATACACCCAAACTCACACAAACACAATTACTTACTCCGTAACTCCTTTACTTCTAAGATTTATCCTTAGAGGAATATATTTGTATATTTTATCCTTGTAAAACAAGACTATCAGTCTGCATATATTTTGCAAGTCAGAAAGGTGACATGTGCAAAAAAAAAAGTGGAATAAAATTTTGTAAATACTCATTCAATATTCAGAAATACATGGCTTTAAATTGTACTTTTATATAATCTTCATTATTACCATTATAATGGCCCTGTAGTTACAAAAAGAATAAAAATATTACCAATAGAAACAATATTCTTTAAACTGTTTGATGTTTAAAGTTATTGAAAAAAGGGATCCCTAAAAATGTTATTCAACTATGTTAACCAATAGTGTATTGTTATCATCTGTTACCTACAAGCTTCAGTTAGGTTGGATAGGTTAACACTGGTAAAAAAATAATACTTTGTTCAATGCACAATAGTAGAAACAAAAACAATTATGCTTAATTAAAACAAATTAAGTTCACACAGAATCTAAATTTTTTTTTAAATCCACTGTATCTTATTATTTTAATAAGCAATTGGAAAAACAACTTGAATTGAAGATCTAAAATGTTTCTCCCTTACTATAATGCATGGAATCTTACTCTAAAAACCTACCCCATGTATCACATGCTGTTGTTAATCAACCACAAAGCACTTCCCCACTTAGAATCTCTTGATATGTCTTACATTTCAGTGTCTATGAAAAACTATGTGAATGATGCTTGTCTAATAGAGATGTGCCTCTTATAGGTCTGATGAAGCAAAAACTAACCATGTGCTTTTGTATACACACTAAGAATGAAGGCATAACAAGTGATCTAAGAGTTGAATTGCAGCCGGGCATGGTGGCTCACGCCTGTAATCCCAGTATTTTGGGAGGCTGAGGCAGGTGGATCATGAGGTCAGGAGTTCAAGACCAGCCTTGCCAAGATGGTGAAACCCCATCTCTACTAAAAACTGCAAAAATTAGCCAGGCGCAGTGGAAGGTGCCTTTAATCCCAGCTACTTGAGAAGCTGAGGCAGGTGAATCGCCTGAAGCTGGGCTGCAGAGGTTGCAGTGAGCCAAGATCGTGCCACTGCACTCCAGCCTGGGTGACAGAGTGAGGCTCTGTCTCAAAAAAATAAAAAAGAGTTGAATTGCATCAATGTTTGCTTTTCAAGAATTTTAATTTTTTAATGCAAAAAGTATGCTTTGAATGTAATTATAACTCTCCAGAAGAAAAATCAATCTCCTCCTTTTAAATGTACATACAAATAAATTAATTTTTTGGTAATTCTTTATAGAAACAAAGTCTTGCTGTGTTACCCAGGCTGGTCTCAATCTCGTGGGCTCAAGTGTTTTTTTCACCCTAGCCTCCCAAAGTGCTGGGATTACAGACATGAGCCATGGCACCTGGCCTTCAGCAATTTTCTAAGCTTCCCAATGACACAGTATATTGTAAAAATATACACGGTAGCCTGGGTGCGGTGGCTCATGCCTGTAATCCCAGCATTTTGGGAGCCCAAGGCAGGCAGATCACAAGGTCAAGAGATCGAGACCATCCTGGCCAACATGGTGAAACCACGTCTCTATTAGAAATACAAAAATAAGCTGGGTGTGGTGGTATGTGCCTGTAATCCCAGCTACTCAGAAGGCTGAGGCAGGTGAATCACTCGAACCTGGGAGGTTGCAGTGAGCCGAGATCATGCCACTGCACTCCAGCCTGGCAACAGAGTGATACTCCTTTTAAAATATATATATATACACATATATAATATATACATGTGTACATATATATAATATATACATGTGTACATATATAATATATACATGTGTACATATATACAATATATACATGTGTACATATATAATATATGTATATATAATATATACATGTGTACATATATATAATATATGTACATATATTATATATGCAATAAATACATTAAGCTACATTACCATAAGAAATTTGGTCATGTAGTGTTTAAATTACCTATCTCAATTTATATTAAAAAAACTGAAAATCGGGGCCAGGTGCAGTGGCTCACGCCTGTAATCCCAGCACTTAGGGAGGTCGAGGTGGATTGATCACCTAAGGTCAGGAGTTCAAGAACAGCCTGACCATCATGGTGAAACCTCATCTCTACTAAAAATACAAACTTAGCTGGGCGTGGTGGCAGGTGCCTATAATGCCAGCTACTTGGGAGGCTGAGGCAGGAGAATCGCTTGAACCCGGGAGGCAGGGGTTGTAGTGAGCCAAGATCATGCCATTGCACTCCAGGCTGGGCAACAAGAGCTAAACTCCATCTCAAAAACAAAACAAAACAAAAAAAAACCTGAAAATTAAAAAAAAAAAATAGATTTTCTTACATTTACAGAGGTACTTAGTGTTCTGATAAAGTTACTGAGTACAAATATCTCTAGAAACACATCTGAAACCATCACAGAATAGAAAGTCATAAAGTAGAAAACTCACATCTTTATCTGGTGTTCTTGCGATTTTGAAACCAAATTTCAATATCACTACTGCTTTCACACATTTCAGCAATGATGTAGAAAGGATTTAAAATAGTTTCATACAGAGTTTCTCTAAAAGACAAATAGTCTCATGTCCCCCAATAGCAATGGAAGACCTGTCAGATTATTCAACCTCTTATAAACCATAAGATGGACTTCAGCTCTAAGTATAAGCTTGAAGGAAGATTAAATTAAAGTAGAATTCTTGGGGGATTTAAGACCATGGGACAGAAGCTGCCCCACTGTTTGGGTATGAGAAAAGAAATCAGGCATTTTAGAAACTATTTCTATTGCAGCAGACCTTCCTAAACCACATTTTATGGTCTGGCTTTCTTCTTCACCTTTGGACCTCAGCTGTGTCATCTTCTTTCACTCCCGCCTACCTAGGTGCTGGCTATGGTCTCTTGTCTTTCTAAATTCCAAGATTCTTTCCTTTGCTTCAGAGAGTTGATCAGGCCCAGATTAGACACAGCAAGATCTGTCTTATTAGAAAAAGGAAACATGAGTTTTGCTGGATTCTCCAATTACCAGACTAGTACTTAGTACTGTGCTTACTAAAGAAAAAGAATATTACAGATAATGTAAAGTTAATATCAAAATACCTTTTCTTCGACAGAATCTTTAGAATATTTAGAAAGTATTTTAAATTTGTGGGTCCTTAGCTCACTACCCAGTAGTACTACTGAATCAAAAGCTGGTGGTGAAAATTGGATTTTAAAATATGAGCAACATTTTATGCTACTAAATTTCTATAATTACCACTAAACTAGAGTGAAGAATGTCAATCATTCAAGAAAAAAAGGTTAATCTCAAAATAAAACATATTGGGCGGGGCACGGTGGCTCATGCCTGTAATCCCAGCACTTTGGGAGGCCAAGGTGGGTAGATCATGAGGTCAAGGGTTCAAGACCAGCCAAGACCACTGCACTACTTTTTTTTTTTTTTTTGAGACAGTTTTGCTCTTGTTGCCCAGATTGAAGTGCAGTGCCATGATTTTGGCTCACTGCAACCTCTGCCTCCCAGGTTCAAGCGATTCTCCTGTCTTAGCCTCCTGAGTAGCTGGGATTATAGGCATGTCCCACCACGCCTCGCTAATTTTGTATTTTTAGTAGAGATGGGGTTTCACCATGTTGGTCAGGCTGGTCTCAAACTCCTGACGTCAGGTGAACCACCTGCCACGGCCTCCCAAAGTGCTGGGATTACAAGCATGCACCACCGCGCCCAGCCAAAAAAATTCTTTTTTTATACTAACAAATTCCCCAAATTTTCTAGACAGCAGGGATCTAAAACTATTCATTGAAAGCAAAATTATGTTTAGGAATATGGAGCATATTTTTATGTTTGTTGGCTTCTTGTAAGTTTTCTTTTGAGAAGTATCAGTTTATGTCTTTTGCTCATCTTTGTGGGGTTATTTATTCTTCTTTAATTAATTTTTTTATAGGTTCTGGAAATTAGACTTGTCAAATGCATAGTTTGCAAACATTTACTCTCATTCTGTAGGTTGTCTGTTTACTCTGTTGATAGTTTCTTTTGCTGTGCAGAAGCTCTTTAGAATAGTTAGGAAGTTGGGAAATTGTCACTTTTTGTTTTTCTTGCTTACTTTTGGAGACTTAGTCAAAAATTCTTTGCCAAGGCCAATGTCAAAAAAGATATTTAGTAGGTTTTTTTGTAGGATTTTTATAGTTTGATGTCTTAAATTTAAATCCTTAATTCATCTTGTGTTAATTTTTGTATATGGCAAATTGTAGGGGTTCAGTATTATCTAGTATTTTTTTCCGCATACGGTTAGCTGGTTATCCCAGCACCATTTATTAAATAGACAGTCTTATTTCCATTGCTTATTTTTGTCAATGTTGTCAAAAATTATATGGCTGTAGGTGTGTAGCTTTATTTCTGAGTTTTGTATTCTGTTCCACTGGTCTCTGTCTGCTTTTATACCAGTAATATGCTTCTTTGGTTCCTGTAGCCATATAGTATAGTTTAAATTTGGGTAGAGTGCTGTCTCTGGCTTTGCTCTTTTTGCTTAAGATTGTTTTGGGTATTTATGCTCTTTATTGTTTTATATAAATTTTAGAATAGTTTTTTTTTTAATTCTCTGAAAAGTTTTATTGGCAGTTTGATAGAGATAGCATTGAATCTGTAGATTAATTTGGCCAATGGGGTCATTTTAATATTGATTCTTTTAATCCATGTGAATATAATGTACTTCCATTTGTTTATGTCATCTATGATTTCTCTTAGCAGTATTTTGTAGTTCTCTTTGTGATAATTGTTCACCTCCTGGGTTATATGCATTCTTAGGTATTTTTTTGTGGCAAGTTAAATGGGATTGAGTTCTTGATTTGGCCCTCAGCTTCAATAATATTGGTGAATAAAAATGACTTTTGCGTATTGACTTGGTATTCTGAAACACTACTGAACTTGCTGATAAGTTCCAGGAGCTCTTTAGTAAAGTTATTAGGTGTTTTTAGGTATCAAATTAGATAATCCATAGAAAGAGATAGTTTGACTTTTTTTCCCGTAATTTGGATGCCTTTTATTTCTTGTTCTTGACTGATTGTTCTGACGAGAACTATTATTAATATTTTGTCATTAAAAGTGAATAAAAATTCTATCACTCTCCTGCTTCTACTTCCCTTAACTCTTACATTACAGCCAAAAGAAATCTTTACATTTCTCATTTTATTACAATAAAAATATGTATTTTACCAGAAAAATAAAACAAGAATATGGTTAAAAAAAACCCAAAACATATATCAAATTTAAAATTTTCTACAATAAAATAAAATCGATTGAAACATGTAAAATAAAAGAAAGCAGCCAGGTGCAGTGACTCACGCCTGTAATCCCAGCACTTTAGGAGGCCAAGGTGGGTGGATCACGAGATCAAGAGTTCGAGACCAGCCTGGCCAACATAGGGAAACCCTGTCTCTACTAAAAATACAAAAATTAGCCAGGCCTGGTGGCACATGCCTTTAATCCCAGCAACTCAGGAGGCTGAGGCAGGAGACTCACTTGAACCCGGGAGGCAGAGGTTGCAGTGAGGCGAGATCATGCCTCCGCACTCCAGCCTCAGTGAAAGAGTGAGACCCTGTCTCCAAAAAAAACAAAAACAAAAACAAACAAAACAAACAAAAAAACAAAGTGCAGGTGAGTGCTTCGAACTGAACACCTTAGAAGCCCTAGTCCATTGTGGATGCACTGAAGCCAAGATTGTCACCAAAACTCAGTTCTCTGTTCTCCAGAGTCCAGGATCTGTAAAACTCTGCATTTAAAAAAGCTCTCAATGTTTTTCCAGGGGAGACTGTGTTCATCTATATCCTATCTCTTCTCACCTTGATTCAAATCCTACCTGATCTAGCGGTGCTGTTTCTGGTTTTGAGCTTAGTTTTCTGTAATTCTCTTTCTTATTTGGATTGTGGTCTGGTCCTAGTCAGAAAGGAAGTTTAGGTGACTCAAATCTCTCTAGATCCAGAGTCCCATAGTCTATTCCTGACTTACATTTGTTGTTCATTTTCTTAACTAAGGCTGTTCAGCAAGCATCAAGAGTTAATGAGAAGAATACGGTTCCAAGGGATCATTACTACAATTCTCAAAGCCATCTCAGGGATATAAGCCATTTCTCATTCCCTAGCTCAAAATAAAACCCTACCAAAGACACACAGCTTACTATCCCTCATTCCACCACTCTTTCTGATCTTAATATGAACAGCCCAAGGCCTTATCTGGCATTTGAGTGCATTACCTACTGGAATGGGAAGAGAGCACCTTGTCTTTTTTCAAATAGTTTCTCCTCCTCATCTAAGCTTCTATCTGTAAAAAAGATTTGTTGAAAATGGAGCTGGCAAGTGGGGCCTTGGATGAAGAGGTAGAGAAGATCTTGGTCTTCAGTTTCCCATTCCATGTTGAAACTCAAATGAAATGTCCTCTCTCTTACACATCCAGACTCAGAATGCAGGGTGTTATGCTGGACTTGCCTTTTATAAGCCCCTCAGCTGGGTACGGCTCACTCTTATGACAAGAAATTTATTTCCTGGAGACATTATGGCCTTCATAAGGAATGTTTCAGGTTGTGATTTACTGGGTACCTTAGACACACATAAGGGGAGATTTTTTCAGGGTCCTGTCATAGCATCAAAAACCAAAATAACAAAACCAGCCAGGTGAGGTGGCTCACACCTGTAACCAAAGCACTTAGGGAGGCCAAGGTGGGTGGATCACCTGAGGTCAGGAGTTCGAGACCAGCCTGGCCAACATGGCGAAACCCCATCTCTACTAAACATACAAAAATTAGCCAGGTGTGGTGGCGAGTGACTGTAATCTCAGCTACTTTGGAGGCTGAGGCAGGAGAATCGCATGAACCCAGGAGGTGGAGGTTGCAGTGAGCCGAGATCATGCCATTGCACTGAAGCCTGGGTGACAAGAGTGAAACTCTGCCTCAAAAGAAAAAAAAAAAACCAGTAGGCATGAAAATTGAAAGTCAAGAGACTCATCCCCTTTTGATTTCTAGCCCTCTTTTCACCCAGAACTATTAAAAACCTTGGCCAGATTTTAAAATGCTAAATTAAACAGACCATATATTAACAGGTATATTTAAATTGTACACATAAAGAAAATTACATAAAGGCCAGGCACGGTGGCTCACACCTGTAATCTCAGCACTTTATGAGGTTGAGGCGGGCGGATCACTTGAGGCCAGAAGTTCAAGGCCAGCCTGGCCAACGTAGTGAAACCCCGGCTTTACTAAAAATACAAAAATGAGCTGGATGTGGGTGACATGTGCCTGTAATCCCAGCTACTCGGGAGGCAGAGGTGAGAGAATCGGTTGAACCCAGGAGGCAGAGGTTGCAGTGAGCCAAGATTGCACCATTGCACTCCAGCCTGGGTGACAGAGTGAGACTCTGTCTCAAAAAAAAAAAAAAAAAAAGAAAAAAAAAGAAAAAAGAAAATTACATATACCATTAAAATTGTATACCTATATGTCACAATTTTTCAAATGCTTGGAAATGACATATCAAATTATAGTTGATTGCATTTGATAAATATACAATAAAATAAAATGCAGAACAACCAAACTCCAAATAGAATATGCCTTTGTCTCTTGAATGTTGAAGAGATACTTAAATCAAATGTGATCACATTGAATTGATCAGATAGGAGCCAGTGCTAACTCAATCAACCACTGATTCCTAAGGCAGCAAAGAGCCCAGCTGGAGAAGCAAGCTTCTCCTCTACCTCACCCTCCCTCAGTCATCCTGGGTGCTACATTGTCTTCTGTAGAATTTGCTCAGCATTCACTATCTGAGCTGACAAATTTGGCTAGATTATTATCACAACCCTAACACATTTTGGTTCTTTGTTCTTGTTTCTTTGTTTAAAATAGGTTGTGGATATAACTATTACATCATGAAACTTTTTTTTTTTTTTGAGATGGTGTCTAGCTCTGTTAGCCAGACTGGAGTGCAGTGGCGTGGTCTGAACTCACTGGAACCTCCACCTCCCAGGTTCAAGCGATTCTCTTGCCTCAGCCTCCTGAGTAGCTGGGATTACAGGCGCCTGCCACCACACCCAGCTAATTTTTTGTATTTTTAGTATAGATGGGGTTTCGCCATGTTGGCCAGGCTGGTCTCAAACTTCTGACCTCATGATCCGCCCGCCTTGGCCTCCCAAAGCACTGGGATTACAGGCATGAGCCACCACACGTAGCCTACATCATGAATCTTTAGAAACCCAGTATGGTACTTGTCTGGGTCTAGTCCTAAAAATAATAAACAGATCCAAAAAACTGTTGCAACATTAACCTTTGAAAGCTGCCTGTGATGATACTGACTCACTGACCTCCTTTCTCCTCAATCCACAGAGAAAGTGCAAGAACCACCAGGTCTTAGGGCACATGGCCAGGACCAGGAGGTACCCAGTGAAGTGCTCTAATGTGGTCCTGTCCCACAGCCCCTGAACCAAATAAGGACAAGCAGAACCTGAAACCAAGGAAGGCTTGGGAACTGCAGACTCCAGGACTCTTTACTAAGACTAACAGGAGGAATGAAGGCAAAGATCAGATACCTGCAGGGTTGAAACCGTACCCAGACTTTGGAATTTTAGTGTCTCCTTCTTTACTCTGTGTCCACAGCCCTCTTTAAGAGTGGAGAGAGAAACATAATAGAAATACATGAAGAGTCTGGGTGCGGTGGCTCACGCCTGTAATCCCAGCACTTTGGGAGGCCGAGGGGGGCAGATCATGATGTCAGGAAATCGAGACCATCCTGACTAACACGGTGAAACCCCATCTCTACTGAAAAATACAAAAAAAAAAATTAGCCAGGCGTGCCTATAGTTCCAGCTGCTCAGGAGGCTGAGGCAGGAGAATCGCTTGAACCTGGGAGGTGGAGGTTGCAGTGAGCTGAGATCGTGCCACTACACTCCAACCTGGTGACAGAGCGAGACTCTGTTTCAAAAAAAAAAAATACATGAAGAGCCCAGCATACTCCTGAGTTCCTCTCTCAGGAGCTCATTCTATTCCTGGAGGATCATTGTGAGCAGGTGTATGAGGATACCTTGAAACTGCATGTGGCAGGCACAATTGCAGTAGATTACAAATGAAAGCCCATCTTGATTGGACATGAAGAAACCATGCAAGGATGCTTGGAGTTGGGGGCTGGATTTGACATGAAGGCAGAAGATACCTTCACAAAGTTCAGAAGACCTTCATTGCTTTCCTCACAGCAAAATATGAGCGAGGACAGTGCCCCTGCTGTTCCTTCCCTGGGTGGTGACAGAAAGTTGAGACACATACAAACACTTAACATAGTTTACTCAGCAAGCAAGAAAATCTTGGAAGGAAGATTCTACTGCAGAATTTGTGCAGCAGATATGAACTGAAGCATCAGCAAAACTGAAAAGTAATGAGAGAATCTGGTGGCTCTGAGGTGTTTTTTTCCCTTTGTTTCCTGCTTAGTTGCTCTTTGAGGATCCCCTGACTTGTTTTACTCCTGTGCCCTTTATGAATGAGTGATGATCATCTTAAAAATCAGGATGTTCGGCCAGGTGCGATGGCTCACGCCTGTAATCCCAGCACTTTGGGAGGCCGAGGCGGGTGGATCACCTGAGGTCAGGAGTTCGAGCCCAGCCTCACCAACATGGTGAAACTCCATCTGTACTGAAAATACAAAAATTAGCCTGGCTTGGTGGTGTGTGCCTGTAGTGCCCACTACTCAGGAGCCTGAGGCAGGATAATTGCTTGAACCCAGGAGGCAGAGGTTGCAGTGAGCCAGGATTGCACCACTGCACTCCAGCCTGGGTAACAGAGAGAGACTCTGTCTCCAAAAAAAAAAAAAAGAAATCAGGATGGTAAAAAATATTTTTCATGTATGTGTACCTTCCTTTTTACTCTTCTTCCTCTTCTTCTTCTTCCTCTTCTTCTTCTTCTTCTCCTTCTTCTTCTCCTTCTCCTCCTCCTTTTTCTCCTCCTCCTCCTCCTTCTCCTCCTCCTCCTCCTTTTTCTCCTCCTCCTCCTCCTCCTCCTCTTCTCCTTCTCCTGCTGCTGCTGCTTTTTTGGATTCTTCTGCTTCTGTTTTCTTTTTCTCTTTGCTATTATGTACATGCCCACCAAGAACATGCTAGGTATGGGGATTTCTGCACAGATGTTCAAGTGTTTTATGAGATGCCTTCCAGGAGGTAGAATCCTTTATGTAAGATCATGTGTCTTTCCACGCTTGATACATATTTTAAAATTATCTTTCAAAAGGTAATTGGCCATTTATACTCCTTACAAGCATGCACAAAACAGCAGGTTTCCTCTGATAACATAGAGACCGTATTAAGGAACATTTAAATTTCCAAACTGATGGTCACACAAACTCATATATTTTGTAATTATTTTTTAACCACCATTAAAGTTGGATGCCTCTTTATGTAGACAATGACAATTTTTACTTCTTTTACTGTGAAATGTTATTATAGGTCCCGTGTCTTTTTGTAATTAAGTTTGTAATTTTGCTCTTAATTTTTAGGGGTGGCTAACACCTTTTATTTGAACACCATATCTCCCACATCATTCTAGCAGGGTAGTGCCTATCCACAAATCCTGAGAATAGATTTGTTCTGAATCTGCTGTCATGAGTTAGCAAGAAGTCAATAAACCCAGAGTGTCATCCATCCGCCTAGCAGGGCCTCTTATCAAGTCATGAACTGGTTTCTCTCTTAATTCATGAACAGCTGAAGAACTGAAGGTGGATTTATTAATTGGCCCCATGCTTTACCTAACCACTTGGGCCAGGACTCAACCCTCTTTGCCAAGCTGACTATCAACAGGCTTGAAGTTTGCTCTCATAATGTACCCTAGTGTGCCACCAAGACACCTGTCCTGGCCACTACAACTTGTCTTATGGTTGTCTTGGTATAAATGCAAACTCAGATTGCTTGCTGTCGAGCATATATGTGGCCAGGACAGCAAATCTAGCATTCAGGAATGAGGCAAGAGGCCTTCCCAGACTCCCAAATGAACTTTTCAGAATTTTCCAAAAATGCTGAGACTCAGTACTTTCCAGACCCCACTCTCCAAAAGAATCATAGATGGGATCTGGGAACCATTCAGACACTCAAGCCTCCTCTGCAGTGAAAATGAACTTGGACCTAAAGAGGCAACCCTTTGTCCACAGGTCACCAAGAATGCTGAGCATCGATCTCCTCCCTCCCCATGGGAGACCTTACCTCAGTTCCATCAAAGCCCATATTGTTTCCCAACCTCCACAATCCAGACATGTTCTAGAGTAAACTCTCAGAATTGTCTTGAGATGGGACAAGGGCTGGTGGAGCTCCAGGTTCAGAATGGCGGCATCATTTTCCCTCCTGAGAAGTTTGCACCTGCTGATCAGAGCCCTTACCTCTTAGGGGGCTTAGCCCATGTCCAAGGAAGTACCCCCTAACTGGATCTCCCAGTCTCTTCCTCCTCTAAGGAGAGTGCCCATGAGACCCTCTATGCTAGGGAATACATGACCTCCATTCTTACGTAACTTGGTTGACTGATAAACGGATACCCTGAGAAACAAGAAGATGCAGGGAACATCTTGGTTCTGGTTAATCTGTGCTCCTTAGCTGAGGTGCCTGTGCAAATGCTGGAACCCAAAATAATATTGGGTGGTAGACACACAGACACTGCCTAATAAAATTATGTAAGTTTATGTTTAACATAAATAGAATTTATAATGTTATATAAAAATGTTGCTACTTAATTTTATAAGAAAATTCAGTCAGATTTTTATAAAGGCATTACAATCTAATTTTAATGAGAAGCTATGAAAATTATGTACACTTGGTGTGTAAATGACTGAGTTTTGGGTAATTCTGCAAAGGCCAACTATGAATGTGAGTCATTGTTAACCAAATGCTCTTACAGATACCATATTGCACACCTGTTTTAATTTGTTCTTTTACCTGAGGTCAATTTTTCATAATTTTAATTATCAAATTTTATACACTTTAGATAAAAGAAACCTTTGCAGTTACCATGTACTCTGTTGGTCTGTAGTTTGTTAGAAATACAAAATTTCAGACAAGATACAGGTATGTTGTATCAAAACCTGGATTTTATGTATTTCCAGGTGATTCACATGCACATTAATGGTTGTTATGTTGGAGTAATTCTATTCTTAAAAGGGGAAATAATTATATGGGTGTACTGGTTTGTCTAAAAGGTATAACTAAGATGGTACGTTTCAGTGCCTATACATCCTATCTCACACACACACACACAAAAACTGAGAAAAAAGTGGAAATGGGGAATAGATTGAAGTAGAGATTAAACAAAAATGACACATAGGCCAGGTGCAGTGGCTCATGCCTGTAATCCCAGCACTTTGGGAGGCCGAGGCAGGCAGATAACCTGAGGTCAGGAGTTCTAGACCAGCCTGACCAACATGGTGAAATCCTATCTTTACTAAAAATATAAAAATTAGGCCAGGCGTGGTGGCTCACACCTGTAATCCTAGCACTTTGGGAGGCTGAGGCGGGCAGATCATGAGGTCAGGAGATCGAGACCATCCTGGCTAACATGGTGAAACCCTGTCTCTACTAAAAATACAAAAAATTAGCCGGGTATGGTGGCATGCACCTATAGTCTCAGCTACTCAGGAGGCTAAGGCAGCAGAATTGCTTGAACCTGGGAGATGGAGGTTGCAGTAAGCCGAGATCATGGCACTGCACTCCAGCCTGGGTGACAGTGAGACTCTGTCTCAAAGAAACAAAACAAAACAAGACAAAGATTAACCAGGCATGATGGCACGCTCCTGTAATGCCAGCTACTCAGGAGGCTGAGACAGGAGAATTGCTTGAACCCAGGAGGCGGAGGTTACAGTGAGCCAAGATTGTGCCATTGCACTCCAGCCTGGTTGACAGTGAGACTCTGTTTCAAAAAAAAAAAAAAAAGACACACAATTAGCAGATATTGAAGTTGAGCATCAGTCTATTATGCTATTATGGTTATTGTGTAAATGTTTAAAGTATTCTGAATAAAACACATGTATGAAGAGATAAAGTTGATCTACAACATTAGCTCTTAAGATTGTGGTTCCTGGCTAAGCACAATGGCTCACACCTTTAATCCCAACACTTTGGGAGGTCAAGGTGAGCAGATCACTTGAGGTCAGGAGCTCGAAACCAGCCTGGGCAACTTGGTGAAACCCTGTCTCTACTAAAAACACAAAAATTAGCCAGGCATGGTGGTTCACACTTGTAATCCCAGCTACTCGGAAGGCTGAAGCATGAGAATTGCTTGAACCTAGAAGGTGGAGGTTTCAGTGAGCCAAGATCATGCCACTGCACTCCAACCTGGGCAACAGAGCAAGACTCTATAAAAAAAAAATTTTAGGGAGTGGACAAGATGGCCAAATAGAAACAGCTTTAGTCTGCAGCTGCCAACAAGAGACCAATGCAGAAGGCAGGTGATTTCTGCATTTCCAACTGAGGTACCCAGTTCATCTCATTGTGACTGCTTAGGCAGTGGGTACAACCCACAGAGAGTGAGCAGAAGCAGGGTGGGGCGTCACTTTGCCTGGGAAGTGCAAGGGACTGGGATCCTTCCTCCCTACCCACAGCTAAGGGAAGCCATGAGGAACTGTGCTGCCCAGCTGGGTTACTATGCTTTTCCCACAGTTTTTGCAATCTGCAGATCAGGAGATTTCCTCCTATGCCTGCACAACTAGGGCCCTGGGTTTCAAGCACAAAACTGGGTGGCTGTTTGGGCAGACACTGAGCTAGCTGCAGGAGTTTTTTTTTCATACCCCAGAGGCACCTGGAACCCCAGCGAGACAGAACCGTTCACTCACCCTGGAAAGGGGGTTGAAGCCCGGGAGCCAAGTGGTCTCTCTCAGCAGGTCTCACTCCCACAGAGCTAAGCAAGCTGAGAACCACTGGCTTGAAATTCTCAGTGCTAGCACAGCAGTATGAAGTTGACCTGGGCGATTGAGCTTGGGAAGGGCATCCACCCCCATTACTGAGGCTTTAGTAGGAGATTTTCCCCTGAAATTGCTAAGGAGGCTGAAAGGTCTGGGCTGGATGTGGCAAAATAGCTGTGGTCAGACTGCTTCTCTAAATTCCTCCTCACTGGGCAGGGCATCTCCGAAGGAAAGGTAACAGCCCCAGTCAGGGGCTTACAGACAAAACCCCCATCTCCCTGGGAAAGAGCACCTGGGGGAAGGGGCAGCTGTGGGCACAGCTTCAGCTGATTTAATTGTTCCTGCCTGCTGGCTCCGAAGAGAGCAGCTGATCCTGACAAGAGGGATTCTGCCAGCACAGCACACCAGCTCTGCTAAGGGACAGACTGCCTCCTCAAGTGAGTCCTTGACCCCTGAGCCTCCTGACTGAGAGAAATCTCCTAACAGGGTTCAACAGAGACCTCATAAAGGAGAGCTCTAGCTGGCATCAGGCCAGTGCCCCTCTGGGATGAAGCTTCCAGAGGAAGGAGCAGGCAGCAGTCTTTGCTGTTTTGCAGCCTCCACTGGTGATACCCAGGTGAACAGGGTCTGAAGTGGACCTCCAGCAAACTGCAGCAGACCTGCAGAAGAGGGGCATGACTGTTAGAAGAAAAGCTAACAAACAGAAAGCCACAACATCAACAAAAACATAAAGGACCCCCACACAAAAACCCCATCCAAACCTCATCAGCCTCAAAGATCAAAGGTAGATAAATCCATGAAGATGAGTAAAAACCAGTATAAAAACACTAAAAATTCCAAAAACCAGAATGCCTCTTCTCCACAACTCCTCTCCAGCAAGGGCACAAAAGTGGCTGGAGAATCAGACTGATGAATTGACAGAAGTAGGCTTCAGAAGGTGGATAATAACAAACTCCTCTGAGCTAACAGAGTATATTCTAACCCAATGCAAGGAAGTTAAGAACCTTGATAAAAGGTTACAGGAACTGCTAACTAGAATAAACAGTTTAGAGAGGAACTTAAATGGCCAGATGGGGCTGAAAAACACAGCACAAACACAAGAACTTCATGAAGCATACACAAGTGTCAATAGCTGAATCAATCAAACAGAAGAAAGGATATCAAAGATTGAAGATCAACTTACTGAACTAAGGCATGAAGACAAGCTTAGAGAAAAAAGAATGAAAAGGAATGAACAAACCCTCCAGGAAATATAGCACTACATGAAAAGACCAAACCTGTGATTGGTTGGTGTATCTGAAAGTGGCAGGGAGAATGGAACCAAGTTGGAAAACACATTTCAGGATATTACCCAGGAGAACTTCCCCAACCTAGCAAGACAGACCAACATTCAAATTGAGGAAATACAGAGAACATTGCTAAGATACTCCTCAAGAAGAGCAACCCCAAGACACATAATCGTCAGATTCTCCAAGGTTGAAATGAAGGACAAAATGTTAAGGGCAGCCAGACAGAAAGGTCAGGTTAAATACAAAGGTAAGCCCATCAGACTAACAGCAGATTTCTCTGTGAAAATCCTACAAGCCAGAAGAGAGTACGGGCCAATATTCAACATTCTTGAAGAAAAGAATTTTCAACCCAGAATTTCATATCCAGCCAAAGTAAGCTTCATAAGCGAATGAGAAAGAAAATCCTTTACAGACAAGCAAATGCTGAGGGATTTCATCACCACCATGCCTGCCTTACAAGAGCTCCTGAAGGAAGCACTAAATATGGAAAGGAAAAACTGGTACCAGCCACTGTAAAAACACACCAAAATATAAAGACCAATGACACTATGAAGAAACTGCATCAACTAACATGAAAAATAACCAGCTAGCATCATGATGACAGGATCAAATTCACACATAACAATATTAACCTTAAATTTAAATGGGCTAAATGCCCCAATTTAAAGACATAGACTGGCTAACTGGATAAAGAGTCAAGACCTATCAGTGTGCTGTATTCAGGAGACCTATCTCACATGCAAAGACACATATAGGCTCAAAATAAAGGTATGCAGGAATATTTACCAAACAAATGAAAAGAAAAAAAAAAGCTGGGGTTGCAATCCTAGTCTCTGATAAAATAGACTTTAAACCAAAAAAGATCAAAAAATAAAAAGAAGGGCATTACATAATGGTAAAGGGATCAATGCAACAAGAAGAATTAACTATCCTAAACATATAAGCACCCAATACACGAGTGCCCAGATTCATAAAACAAGTTCTTAGAGATCTACAAAGAGACTTAGACTCCCACACAATAATAGTGGGAGACTTTAACACCCCTCTGTTAATATTAGACAGATCAAGGAGACAGAAAATTAATAAGGATATTCAGGACTTGAACTCAGCTCTGGACCAAGCAGACCTAATGGACATCTACAGTACTCTCCACACCAAATCAACAGAATATAAATTCTTCTCAGTGCCACACAGCACGTATTCTAAAATTGACCACATAATTGGAAGTAAAACGTTCCTCAGCAAATGCAAAAGAATGAAAATCATACCAAACAGTCTCTCAGACCACAGGACAATCAAATTAGAACTCAGGATTAAGAAACGCATTCAAAACCTCACAACTACATGGAAATTGAACAACCTGCTCCTGAATGACTACTGGGTAAATAACGAAATGAAGGCAGAAGTAAATAAGTTCTTTGAAACCAATGAGAACAAAGACACAGTGTATCAGAATCTCTGGGACCAGAATCTAACACAGCTAAAGCAGTGTTAAGAGGTAAATTTATAGCACTAAATACCCACAACAGAAAGCTGGAAAGATCTAAAATCAACACCCTAAAATCACAATTAAAAGAACTAGAGAAGCAAGAGCAAACAAATTCAAAAGCGAACAGAATACAAGAAATAACTAATACCAGAGCAGAACTGAAGGAGATAGAGACACAAAAAACCTTCAAATAATCAATTAATCTAGGAACTGGTTTTTTGAAAAGATTAACAAAATAGATAGACTACTAGCTAGACTAGTATAGAAGAAAAGAGACAAGAATCAAATAGGCACAATAAAAAATGATAAAGGGGCTATTACCACTGATCCCACAGAAATACAAACTACTATAAGAGAATACTATAAACATCTCTATGCAAATAAACTTGAAAATTTAGAAGAAATGAATAAATTCCTGGACACATACACCCTCCCAAGACTAAACCAGGAAGAAGATGAATCCCTGAATAAACCAATAGCAAGTTCTGAAACTGAGGCAGTAATTAACAGGCTACCAACCAAAAAATGCCCAGGCCCAGATGGATTCACAGCTGAATTCTACCAGAGGTACAAAGAGGAGCTAGTACCATTCCTTCTGAAATGATTTCAAACAATAGCAAAAGAGGGACTCCTCCCTAACTCATTTTATGAGGCTAGCATCATCCTGATACCAAAACCTGGCAGAGACACAATAAAAAAAAAAATTTCAGGCCAATATCCCTGATGAACATCAATGCGAAAATCCTCAATAAAATACTGGCAAACCAAATCCAGCAGCACATCAAAAAGCTTATCCACCATGATCAGGTGGGCTTCATCCCTGAGATGCAAGGCTGGTTCAACATACACAAATCAACCAACATAATCCATCACATAAACAGAACCAATGACAAAAACCACATGATTATCTCAATAGATGGAGAAAGGGCCTTTGATAAACTTCAACATCCCTTCATGCTAAAAACTCTTAAAAAACTAGGTATGGATGGAACACACCTCAAAATAATAAGAGCTATTGATGACAAACCCATAGCCAATATCATACTGAATGAACAATAGCTGGAAGCTTTCCCTTTGAAAACCGGCACAAGACAAGGATGCCCTCTCTCACCACTCCTACTCAACATCATATTGTAAGTTCTGGCCAGGGCAATCAGGCAAGAGAAAGGAATAATGTGTATTCAAATAGGAAGACAGGAAGTCAAATTGTCTCTGTTTGCAAATGACATGATTGTATATTTAGAAAACCCCATCATCTCAGCCCAAAAACTCCTTAAGCTGATAAGCAACTTTAGTAAAGTCTCAGGATACAAAATCAATGTGCAAAAATCACAAGCATAGGCCTGGCATGGTGGCTCGTGCCTGTAATCCCAGCACTTTGGGAGGCTGAGGTGGGCAGATCATGGGGTCAAGAGATCGAGACCATCCTGGCCAACATGGTGAAATGCCGTCTCTACTAAAAATACAAAAATTAGCCAGGCATGATGGTGTGTGCCTGTAATCCCAGCTACTCATGAGGCTGAGGCAGGAGAATCGCTTGAACCCAGGAGGCGGAGGTTGCAGTGAGCCAAGGTTGCACCGCTGGACTCCAGCCTGGGTGACAGAGCAAGACTCCGTCTCAAAAACAAAAAGAAACAAAAAAAACACACAAGCATTCCTAAACAACAACAATAGACAAGCGGAGAGCCAAATCATGACTGAAATCTCATTCACAATTGCTACAAAGAGAATAAAATATCTAGGAAAACAACTTACAAGGCATTTGAAGGACCTCTTCAAGGAGAACTACAGACCACTGCTCAAGGAAATGAGAGGACACAAACAAATGGAAAAACATTACATACTCATGGATAGGAAGAATCAATATCATGAAAATGGCCATATTGACCAAAGTAATTTACAGATTCAATGCTATTCCCATCAAGCTACCAGTGACTTTCTTTGCAGAGTTAGAAAAAACTACTTTAAATTTTGTATAGAACCAAAAAAGAGCCCGTATAGCCAAGACAATCCTCAAGATGAATTGAAGACTTAAATGTAAAACCCCAAATCATAAAAATCCTAAAAGAAAACCTAGGCAATACCATTCAGGACATAGGCATGGGTAAAGACTTCATGACTAAAACACTGAAAGCGATTGCAACAAAAGCTAAAATTGACAAATGGGATCTAATTAAACTAAAGAGCTTCTGCATAGCAAAAGAAATTACCATCGGAGTGAAAAGGCAACCTATAGAATGGGAGAAAAGTTTTGCAAGCTACCCATCTGACAGAGGTCTAATATCCAAAATCTACAAGGAACTTAAACAAATCATTTATGTGGCCAACAAACATATGAAAAAAAGCTCATCAGGCCCAGAGCAGTGGCTCACGCCCGTAATCCCAGCACTTTGGGAGACCAAGGTGGGTAGATCACGAGGTCAGGAGTTCAATACCAGCCTAGTCAAGATGGTGAAACCCTGTCTCTACTAAAAAATATAAAAATTAGCCAGGCACAGTGGCAGGCACCTGTAATCCCAGCTACTTGGGAGGCTGAGGCAGGAGAATTGCTTGAACCCGGGAGGTGGAGTTTGCAGCCAGCTGAGATTGCACCACTGCACTCTAGCCTGGGCGACAGAGAAGGACTCTAACTCAAAAAAAAAGAAAAAAAGAAAAAAAGCTCATCATCACTAGTCATTAGAGAATGCAAATCAAAACCACAATGAGATACCATCTCACACCAGTTAGAATGGAGATCATTAGCAAGTCAGGAAACAACAGATGCTGGAGGGGATGTGGAGAAATAGAAATCCTTTTACACTGTTGGTGGGAGAATAAATTAGTTCAGCCATTGTGGAAGACAGTGTGGCAATTCCTCAAGGATCTAGAACTAGAAATACCATCTGACCCAGCAATCTCATTACTGGGTATATACCCAAAGGATTATAAATCATTCCACTATAAAGACACATGCACACATATGTTTACTGTGGCACTGTTCACAATAGCAAAGACTCGGAACCAACTCAAATGCCCATCAATGATAGACTGGATAAAGAAAATGTGGCACATATACACCATGGAATACCATGCAGCCATAAAAAATGAGTTCATGTCCTTTGCAGGGACATGGATGAAGCTGGAAGACATCATTGTCAGCAAACTAACACAGAAACAGAAAACCAAACACTGCATGTTCTCACTCATAAGTGGGAGCTGAACAATGAGAACACATAGACACAGGGAGGGGAACATCACACATTGAGGCCTGTCTGAGGGGGCAAGGGGAGGGAGAGCATTAGGACAAATACCTAATGCATGTGGGGCTTAAAACCCAGATGACCAGTTGATAGGTGCAGCAAACTACCGTGTCACATGTATACCTATGTAACAAACCTGCATGTTCTGCACATGTATCCCAGAGCTTAAAGTAAAATTTTAAAAATAATAAAAATTAAATTAACAAAAAAAGATTGTGATTACCTTTAGGGAGGAGAAGGAAAAGAGGCTGAAAATGGTGGTTGGGGGCATAAACAAGGCTAATTCTATTCTATGGTTAAACAAATGTGTTTGCCTTACAATGATTTATTAAGCTTTATATTAATGCTTTGTGCATGTATTTCTGTATGTATGCTATACATTAATAAAAATTTAAATATTACATATTTAATCCTAACAATATTTCAGAATTACAGTAATGTTTGGTATTATTTTGTTTTAAAGTGGGGCATTTTCATGCAGGTGTTCTGAGATGGATATTAATATTCCAAGGTATATCTTTATGTTCTGTCTCTTGGGAGACCCATAAGGTTTTCCAATTTCTACCTCAATTAAGTAGCACTGTTTTAATTTGGAGGATGCAATTTTTTACAGCAAAGTCTTCTCCCCACGATAGTACTCACCAAGGCCAGGCCGCCTAGCACAGTGCCCTGCACGCAGTGTGCACCCAGTCTGTACAGAACTGGTTTGAATCAGGAACAAAACAAGTAGCAGAGGTCAGTTCTACAAATGATAGAAAGTAGGTACACAATGAAGACTGAAAGGCTACACTCAACAGCAAACACTTTTGCATTTATTTGGAAAATATTTTAAACTAGCTCACCAAATGATGTTCATGTCAAGCAGTGATTTGGGAGTTTGGCTGTGACTGTAACCTCCTGGAGAGCTTTAAATCACATTGTCTCCTGGGTCTCACTCCAGGATTTTGGCTAATTGTGCCATTGCAACTTGAGTTTGGGGACTTTAAACATCCCACCTTCAGGTTGCTCTAATATCCAGGCAGGGGTAAGAAGCATTTATTCAGGGTGAAGAATGCATTGCTTGTGTGTGATTTTTATGTGTGCTTCAGGCTTTGCCCCATAGCTGCTCCTAAATTTGTGGGCTTAGAAAACATCTTTGCCCTTCAAAGTATACACAGCTGTTTGGCTAAATTGCAGCAGGAGAAAATATCAGCAGCTCTATCTATGTCACTTACCTTTCGAGTAAGAGGTTGTTTCAGGCACAGTAATTTGATTTCTTCTGTGTTGAAAATTATAAATAGCCTAGAACTACCAGAAAGAGATACAAAGATTTTGCAGATGTGTGGAGTGCATTATAGGTGTTTTCAAATTTCTCTTATAATGAGAAATAAAAAACATAATATTAGGCCTTAATTTACTAAACTCAGTGTTCAGCCATTTTCTCAAATGGTTTATAGTTTTTCCAAGAGACTTCAGCAGCATTCTCTAGAGGGAATGAATTCCCCCAAGAGTGCTAACTGGATGGGATGAGAATAAAACATAATCTTGCTTCTATTTCAGAAGTGTCCCTCTACAGAGCCTTTTTTTTTTTTTTAGGCGGAGTCTCTCTCTGTTGCCCAGGCTGGAGTGCAGTGGCATGATCTCGGCTCACTGCAATGTCCGCCTCCCGGGTTCACGCCATTCTCCTGTCTCAGCCTCCCGAGGAGCTGGGACTACAGGCACCCGCCACCAGGCCCGGCTAATTTTTTGTGTTTTTAGTAGAGACGGGGTTTCACCGTGTTAGCCAGGACGGTCTCGATCTCCTGACCTTGTGATCCACCCACCTCGGCCTCCCAAAGTGCTGGGATTACAGGCGTGAGCCACGCGCCCAGCCTCCAGAGTCTTGATGGACTAGAAAACGTGGCTGAGTAGTGTGGTCTGTGGAAGTGCATGAGCTCTGGACTCAGATAGAGTTAATCCTTAATCCCAGCCCAGCTGCTTAGTAGCTGTGGGACAGTTAAATAAACCTTATCTGCAAATAAAAGCATAATAGGCCGGGCGCAGTGGCTTACGCCTGTAATCCCAGCACTTTGGGAGGCAGAAGCGGGCAAATCACGAGGTCAGGAGATCGAGACCATCCTGGCTAACAGGGTGAAACCCCATCTCTACTAAAAAAATACAAAAAAATTAGCCGGGCGTGGTAGCGGGCACCTTTAGTCCCAGCTATTGCGGAGCCTGAGGCAGGAGAATGGCATGAACGCGGGAGGTGGAGCTTGCAGTGAGCCGAGATCGCGCCACTGCACTCCAGCCTGAGCGACAGTGAGACTCCGTCTCCAAAAAAAAAAAAAAAAAAAAAAAGCATAATAAAATTGATTGAAAAAAACAATTATTTTTATTCATTCTCATATCCATGCCCTTAGCATATGATTTTATAATAGTTCCCATCAAGAGACAGGATCTGTTTTCTAAATCTTGGATCTTTCTGGCCTTATTTGCACAGGCCAAAACTGAAATGACAGCATGTCAGTTTTGAGCCTAGGCTCAAAACGTCTTAAATGTTTCTAAAATGGGTCTTAAAAGCTCATTTTTGCTTGCTGAAAAATAAAAGTATCACAAGGAGAAAAATTGAAGTGCCCCAGTTGACAGGTAGCTCACTCTCAGAAGCAGAACCACCCAATCTGCCAGCAGCTGACCACTCATGCCTGAAGCCCAGCCTAAATTTCTAACCAGTTCAATGATGAGCTAGTAAGTTTTAGGATAGTTTGTTATGCAGTTATACCTTACTAACATAAACATTCATTATAGACAGGGTATCAGGATTCCAAAAAGATTCATTGCAAATAACCTGCAAATGGTCTGCACCTTATAAGTACTGATTTTCTTTTCCATTTATTTAAAGTTAGATTTCTGTTAGGTGGTATTGAATTATACAGAAGAGCAAGTAGATGTATATAATTGGTGCTTAAACTCACACAGTGCCCCATACCACAGGAGAAAAACATACAGCTACAGCCAGACAATTAGGTCCGAGGCCAAATAGCAAAATAAGGAGTTGACCTTTGTATTAATTTATTTTCACACTGCTATAAAGACATACCTGAGGCCAGGCACGGTGGCTCATGCCTGTAATCCCAGCACTTTGGGAGGCTGAGGCAGGTGGATCACAAGGTCAGGAGATCGAGACTGTCCTGGCTAACACGGTGAAACCCCGTCTCTACTAAAAACACAAAAAATTAGCTGGTTGTAGTGGCAGGCACCTGTAATCCCAGTTACTCGGGAGGCTGAGGCAGAAGAATTGCTTGAACATGGGAGGCGGAGGTTGCAGTGAGCACAGATCGCGTCACTGCACTCCAGCCTGGGCGACAAGAGTGAGACTCTGTCAAAAAAAACCCCAAAAAACAAACAAACAAACAAAAAAACTACCTGAAACAGAGTAGTTTATGAAGAGAAGAGATTTAATTGACTCAAAATTCTGCATGGCTGGGGAGGCCTCAGGAAACGTACAATCGTGGCAGAAGGCAAAAGGGAAGAAAGGCATGTCTTCAACAGGTGGCAGGAGAGAGTGAAAGAGAGAGAAAGCACTATAGACTTATCAAACAACCAGATCTCCTGAGAACTCTATCAGAGAGCAGCAAGAGGAAGTCTGCCCCCACGACTCAATCACCTCCCACAAGGCCCCTCCCCGACATGTGGGGATTACAACTCAAGATGAGATTTGGGTTGGGACAAAGAGCCAAACCATATCAGCCTTTAATCTATTCCCTCCACATCTGAACTTTGGAGGTCAACACTGTGAAGAGATGTGAAGACATGGGGTTTCCTCCTTCTGAGGCCCTATCATCCATTGTTTACTGTCTGATATTTGGAAGAGAAATCCCCTCCAAACAGCAACTGGGACACAGTGGTCTACATGTGGACACTTCCTGCTTGCAGCTGCTGCTCTGTCTAAGGGCACTGTGCCTCCCACCCTTGGGCCTGAACAGAGAAGTTTATAGGCAGAGGCTGTTCTCTCACTTCCAGCAGAAAAAGGATATTCAGGTCCTTTACCTCTTTGAGGTCAGAGAGTCACAGTCTTCAGAGATGCACTTCAATGTGCCAGCTACTTGCCATTTGAGGCTACTGGGTACCTGGAATGTGGCTGATTTAAAATGAGATGTGCTGCAGATATGAAATAGAGTCAGTTAAGAAAATTTAGAACCAAAAATCACTCTATTAATAATTACATACTGGGCTAGGCACGGTGGCTCACGCCTGTAATCCCAGCACTTTGGGAGGCCGAGGCGGGTGGATCATAAGGTCAGGATATCGAGACCATCCTGCCAACATGGTGAAATGCGTCTCTACTAAAAATACAAAAAATTAGTTGGGCGTGGTGGTGGGTGCCTGTAGTCCCAGCTACTCGGGAGGCTGAGGGAGAAGAATGGCGTGAACCCAGGAGGCGGAGCTTGCCATGAGCCAAGATTGTGCCACTGCACTCCAGCCTGGGCGACAGAGTGAGACTCCATCTCAAAATAATAATAATAATTATTATTATCATTATTATATATTGGGCTGGGTGAGGTTGCTCACACCTGTAATCCCAGCACTTTGAGAGGCCGAGATGGGTGGATCACTGAGGCCAGGAGTTCAAGACCAGCCTGGCCAACATGGCAAAACCCTGTCTCTACTAAAAATACAAAATTAGCTGGGTGTGGTGGCCCACATCTGTAATCCCAGCTACTTGGGAGGCTGAGGCAGAAGAAGTGATTGAACCCAGGAGGCAGAGGTTGCAGTGAGCTGAGATCACGCCATTGCACTCTAGCCTGGGCAACAAGAGCAAAACTCTGTCTCAAAAAAAAGATGATGATAATAATAATTATTATATGTTGATCACACATTTATTCCCAGTGTTCCATTATTGGAACACTAAGCATATGGGAGTTATTTATATCTCACTGCTCAAGGTCATTGCCAACGTCTGACTGCAAAAATTTTAAAAATTGCAACCTCAGGCATAAATGGGTTAAAATAATAATATTTTGGATGTACTGGGTTAAAAAATAATTTCACTTGTTTCTTTTTATTATGTTTAATGTGGCTACTAAAATATTTAAAATTCACACACGGCTGACATTTTATGTTTTAGAGGATTGCTTTTCTTTTAAAATCTCAGGTTGCCTACTCAGAAGATCAGGGGCCGGAAGTGTTATGAAATATTAAATATTAAAATAATTGCCATTATAGTGTTTCCATTTGTAAACAACATATATGTGTGTGTATAAAATTTATAAGTGGACCTAACCTTATACACAAGATTAAAAAATTACCCCCAGGCAGAGCTAAGCCCAGCTCAGAGGTAAAGCCCTTGCTGGAGATGACTGGAGCCAAGAGTCTGTCACTCTTGCCTCATTCAGTGCACTGTCTGGTAGCATCTTCTGTCACTCAAGGCCCGAGGGCGCGGGGCCGGGAGCTCTATCCAATCAGGGTGCTGGGATGGAAACTGTCCAATCAGATTCACAGCCAGAGAGGAAGGGGCGGCTCCCGGTATCTGGCGGGGCCTTTGTCTTTCGCTCCAGGTAGAGCTTGGGGTTAGTACATCACTGGCCTGCGTGCTCCGCTCCAGGAGGTCTCGGTGATTCTGCCACAGCCTCATCCTCCGTCGCCCTGTGACCTACTGGTATTGGAACATTCATAGCTAAGACTCCAGGACACCCACAAAGCCGAGAAATGCTGAGTTTGCGGGTCAGGGCGTCCGGAGACTGGGGAGGCCTCATCGGAGTCGGCCGGAAATGGCGGTGGCGGGACCGAGTCTGTGAGCCTGAGCCCCCCTCAGCTCAGCCCTCAGTCTCCTCTGGTGCAGGGTACCCAGGCGTCCTGTACCGTTTCAGCACAGCGGCTTTGGCCCCAGCCTGTAGCCCTCTTTGCGCAGCTCTGCGCCCGCATCTTCCCCAGCTTGTGAGGTGATGAGGAGAGGTTCACCAGGGAAAGACGCCGACTTGGTGTGCAGGGCTTCTGCGTGGAAGGAGCTCTGGTCTGTGGGGTCACCAGTCCCTACTTTAACCTATTCAGACATAAACGGAGGCACCATTAAAACATTAAAGAATTTATATGAGCAAACAGTGATGAACCAGTGGGACAGCCCCAGACATGGTTTGTCGTTTGGGGGCTACCAGCGGGTCTTGAAGAAAAGGCTTTAAGGTTTGTGAAGAGGCAAAGCAAACTAAATAATTGATTGGGTACAGTTATGTAGTCGTTTCATTTAGAGTGTCCAGGAGAAAATTTTCTGGTTATGTAATCAGATTAATTGGAGATTTATGGTTGGTTAAGCCTGAATTTTGTTTTCTCCTAAGGTAGTAACTTACGAGATACGCATTTGAGTTAGATCGTTTTGTTGCTGTTACACAGGAACCTAGATCCCTAGAGCCACTTCAGTCTACCTGCTATTTAATTATTTTAACTTTAATCAGAAGCACTGTTTTTTTCCTACATTTTCCAAATGTGTGGCAAGCAGAGTCTTAAATCTGTTCTGCCAGCCTAACTTGGCTTGCAGTAAAATCTTAAATTTCCAGTTTCTTTTTTTTTTTTTTTTTTGTTTGTGACGGAGTCTCACTCTATTGGCCAGGCTGCAACCTCCGTCTCCCAGGCTCAAGGAATTCTCCTGCCTCAGCCTCCCAAGTAGCCGGGATTACCGGCATGTGCCACCACACCCGGCTAATTTTTGTATTTTTAGTAGAGACGGGGTTTCACCGTGTTAGCCAGGCTGCTCTCCAACTCCTGACCTCAGGTGATCCGCCCGCCTTGGCCTCCCAAAGTGCTGGGATTACAGGCGTGAGCCACTGCACCAGGACTGAAATTTCCAGTTTCTTTTCAACATTCACCAAAGCCAACTACTCCCATCCAATTCACAACATTATCAACTATTTTTGTTTTTTATTGTATGTTTCTATTTGTAAATATTTCACCGGAGGAAAGCAGAAAATAATCCCATTACACTCCACTGTCAAAAATTTTTCTGCTTTTTCTTCTTTTATCTTCCCTAGGCACAAATGCCTTATCAGGATATCTTTAAATTCAAGTTTCCCTTTGGAAACTTGATGGGACAGTGTGTCCTCAGCCACACTGCTTTTTTTTAAGTCTTGAGTTTTAGAGCTCTCTTGGGATAACCCAAGATACACACAACAGCCATACCTTTTGGAAGGTTTGGTGAATATCAGCCCCTTGGTCATCTCCTTCCAGAGGACACACTGATGTATGGAAATGGAGCTTCTCAGGAGAGCAGCTGAATGTCCTGAGGCTGAGAGAAATATCCTGGTTTACCCTTCCCATAAAAAGAACCTTTGGGGATCTTAAGATTTTCTTTCCCCAGCCCCAGTTCTTCCTGGTCAGCCAATTGGATGGTTGTATTTAGGGGAAAAGACAAAAATAATGCCTGTCTTCTGAATTATCTCATATTTGTGAAGGGGGGAGAACTGTTTTAAAAGACAAAAAAAACAAACAAACAACAACAACAAAAAAAACTCACCCTAAGGAGGCATGCAAGAACTTGCAAAGCAAAAAAAAAAAAAAAAAAAAACACCAGGGACACACTGTAGGGCACTGTGCAGTGTCTTCTGGGAGGGAGAGCTTTGAGCACTTTAGTGAGTAGGGTAAGGGTGGCAGAATGTACCAACTTATAGGATTGCCTGATTTGACACTTGAGTCAGATATGTGTCTCTTCTGGCCGGGCACGGTGGCTCATGCCTGTAATCCCAGCAGCTGGGGAGGCCAAGGTGGGTGGATCATGAGGCCAGGAGATCGAGACCATCCTGGCGAACGTGGTGAAACCCCATCTCTACTAAGAATACAAAAAAAAGTAGCTGGGCATGGTGGCACGTGCCTGTAGTCCCAGCTACTTGGGAGGCTGAGGCAGGAGAATTGCTTGAACCAGGGAGTAGGAGGTTGCAGTGAGCTGAGCTTGCACCAGTGCACTCCAGCCTGGGCCACAAAGCGAGACTCCATCTCAAGAATAAGGGAAGAGACCAGCCCTCATATTGTCTTATGCCCAATTTCTGCCTCCAAAGAAAGAAGAACTAAAAACTAAAAGGCAGAAATGAAATCCACAGGCAGACAGCCCAGTGCCACACCCTGAGCCTGGTAGTTAAAGATTGACCCCTGACCTAATCGGTTATGTTATCTATAGATTACAGACATTGTATGGAAAAGTACTGTGAAAATCCCTGTCCTGTTCTGTTCCATTCTAATTACTAGTGCATGCAGCCCCCAGTCATGTACCCCCTGCTTTCTCAATTGATCACAACCCTCTCATGCGGACCCCCTTAGAGTTGCAAGCCCTTAAGAGGGACAGGAATTGCTCACTCGGGGAGCTCAGTTTTTGGAGACGTGAATCTGCCAGTGCTCCCAGCTGAATAAAGCCCTTCCTTAACTTGGTGTCTGAGGGATTTTTGTCTGCAGCTAGTCCTGCTACATTTCTTGGTTCCCTGACTGGGAATGAGGTGATTAATGGATGGATGGTTGATGCACCTCCTTAGGCAGCTGAGGCTTGCCCTGTGGAGCATCCCTGCGGGGGACTCTGGCCAGCTTGAGCAACATGGATCCTGAGAGCGCTCCCAGATAGGCATTTGCCCTGGTGGAATGCCTTGTTAGAGCGGTGCACAGCAGGCCCCTGCGGAGGATCAACGCAGTGGCTGAACACCAGGAAGGAACTGGCACTTGGAGTCCAGACATCTGAAACTTGGTAAGACTGGTCTTTGGAACTTGCCCACTCCATTTGAGTGGAAGCATGGCCTGATCACCCACGACGTGCCTGTACCGGCACTTTGGTTTTTGTTTTTGACTTGACTTGGATTGCTCGATACTTTGGTTTTGGTTTTGACCTGGCTTGGATTTCTTGATACTCTGATTTTTGTTTTGGTTCTGATTTGGTGTAAACTGTGAAAGTGTGTGTGTGCCCTTTTTACCCGTTCTTTGTTTTGTGGTGTGCGTGTGGTGTGAGCGTGGTGTTTTGTCTTGAGGAAGCATGGGTCAAGCACAAAGTAAGCCCACCCCACCAGGAACTATGTTGAAAATTTCAAGATTTAAGGGAGACTATGGAGTACTATGACACCAGGAAAACTTAAAACTTTGTGTAAGATAGACTGAACAGCATTAGAGGTGGGTTGGCCACCAGAAGGAAGCCTGGACAGGTCCCTTGTTTCAAAGGTATGGCACAAGGTAACCTGTAATCCAGGGCACACTGACCAGTTCCTGTATATAGACACTTGGTTACAGCTGGTTTTAGACTGCCCCCCACAGTGGTTGAGAGAACAGCAGCATAAGCGGCTGGCAGAGGCAAGGAAAGACCAGCAGAGAGAGAGAGGAAGAGACAGACAAAGAGGGAGTCAAGAAGAGAGAGAGAGAGAGACAGAAAGTGAAAGAGAGAAAGAAAGAGGGAAATATACAAGTAGTTAAGAAAAAAAAAGTGTACCCTATTCTTTTAAAAGCCAGCGTAAATTTAAAACCTGTAATTGATAATTGGAGGTCTTTTCCGTGACCCTACAACACTCCAATACAACCTTGTTGTAAGTGTAAGCAAGGGTGAAGCCCAAAAGCACTGAGGCCACTGACAACCTGTAGCCTTCGTATCAAAAATTCTTAACTGAGTAATCTGTGGATGGCCCAAATGCATTCAATCTGTAGCAGCAACTGCTTTGTTAACAGAAGAAAGTAGAAAAATAACTTTTAGAGGAAACCTCATTGTGAGCACACCTCACCAGTTCAGAAATATCCTAAGGGAAAAAAAAAAAAAGATGATTTAACATTAGCCACTGAAAATTCCCTTAACCTAGCAGGTTTCCTAACAGGGGGTCTAAATCTTAATTACCATACAAAGGTCTGACCAGACCTAGGAGGAACTCCCTTTAGGATGGGATGATAGAAGGAAAAAAAAGAAGCCATCTATACCAATTCTAAGTTAATTTGGACTAAACAAGGTCTTATTAATAGCAAAGGATAATTGAAATCCAAAACTTACAAGGTTTTCAACAAAAGTAAAGTTTGCTAAAAGTTAACAGTGTAACATGTATTATAGTAACTTCTAATCTTGTGGCCTTAGACAGTCTAGTCCACAGACATAAAGGAAGTTCACTTTGGAAAAGAATGGTTATCATCTTTGGGAAAAAAAGGGGAAAGAAGGTGAGGGAGCAGAATTTATGTAAAAAGAATGTTATATGGTAAATTCTTGTCCTGAAATAAATTAACTGGTTGTTTAAAGAAAGAAATGTTTGTAATAAGTCAGAAAGTTGAGGCCTGTAGAAGAATTGTCTGTGAAAGTCGTGAAAGAAAAAAAGTTATAAAAAAAAATTTATGCAAGAAATGTTGTATAATTTAAAAGTAACTAGGCCTCCTGAATGTAAAACTATTGAAAAAAACAGTTTATATGCAAGGTGTATAAACAAAGTAAAATATAACTTTGGTAAAAGGATTATAAGGAGGCATAAGAATGTAAATTTTTACCTACATTAAAAGGTTAAAAAAAATTGTTTTGAAGGTTTAAGCAAGTTTTAAAACATTAATTTTAAAGAAAATTCTGTGTGTAAACATATTAGCTAAAGTTAAAGGGGTATCATCCAGTTGTTCTGTGAACTGGACGTTAAAGTAAAAACACAATGAGTTTTTCTTAAAGCGCTAACATGCTCTTTTACAAAGATTATAAAAGGTTAAAAACAGTCTATAAAAATCTTACCTTGGCCGGGCGCGGTGGCTCACGCCTGTAATCCCAGCACTTTGGGAGGCCGAGGCGGGCGGATCACGAGGTCAGGAGATCGAGACCATCCCGGCTAAAACGGTGAAACCCCGTCTCTACTAAAAATACAAAAAATTAGCCGGGCGTAGTTGCGGGCGCCTGTAGTCCCAGCTACTTGGGAGGCTGAGGCAGGAGAATGGCGTGAACCCGGGAGGCGGAGCTTGCAGTGAGCCGAGATCCCGCCACTGCACTCCAGCCTGGGCGACAGAGCGAGACTCCGTCTCAAAAAAAAAAAAAAAAAAAAAAAAATCTTACCTTATGATCCAACATTAAAAATTGAATAAATGTGTCTATAAAGTTTTATTAAAACTAAGTTTAACATTAATAGCACACTAATATAAAGGTGAAATTTAGCTTATCTGGTATAAAAATCATACAGGAAGCATTGTCAAATATAAAATGGTATTTGGCTTCTTTGATCTAAAAACTAATAAAAAATACATGCTAAAGGAAATTTCTCAGTAGAAAGGCACCAAGGACTACAAAGTCCACTGCTGATGTCTCCACATTTAAAACAAAAGGTCAGTTTCTTAGAAATTATATACTTGGTTTATCTTCCGCTTTCCTTTCCATCAAAACTAAAAGTCTTTTAGCACATGTACCACCCCTAGAATTTCCAGTAAACCAGCACCAGCCTGAAGATCACGTTCTCATCAAAGGGTGAAAAGAAAGGAAACTTGAGCCAGCCTAGGAAGGACCCTACCTTGTGCTGCTAACCACTGAGACTGCTGTTCATGCAGCGAAAAAAGGATGGACTCATCACAACTGAGTCAAGAAAGCGCCACCCCCTCCAGAGTCATGGGCCATAGTCCAAGAGGAAAACCCTACCAAACTAAAGCTAAGAAAAATTTAACTCTCTCATCTATTCTATTACTCTTTCTTCTTTCCTCGCTCTATTGCTGACCATCTAGTTATTAATGTAGCCAAGTCAATTTCACCTCAAACTATTGCATTTAATGCATGCCTTGTTATACCCTGTGGGGACTTGCCAAGTCAAAGACTTGTACTTCAGAAAGCTCTGTACTTCAGAAAAGTACCTCTGTCCCTCCTGACTCTCCTCAGACTGGGCATTAGTAAATTAGGACCGTTTAATCCGGGGAAATTTCGATAAAGCCTCCAGTGTCAACCAGGAGCCTTGCTCCCCAATGTAGAGCTTTTATGCCATAGTTGGTCCAACATTCTGTGGACCACTAAAGAGCAAGGATGGACTGCCCCAACTGGTTTTTGTAATTCCCTAAAATCATACATTAATTTTACTAGAGGATCATAGAAGTTAAAGACTTAAAACAAACTTTGGCAAACAGGATACGAAGATGCAAATTCCTGGTTGGAATGGATCAAATATTCCATCCACACGTTAAACAAAAGCAATTGTTATGCTTGGGCACATGGCAGGCCAGAGGCCCAGATTGTCCCCTTTCCACTAAGGTGGTCCTCCTGTCCACCAGGCATGGGCTGCATGGTAGCTCTTTTCCAGGATTCTACAGCCTGGAGTAATAAGTTGTACCAAGCTCTCTCTGTGATATCCCAAAGTCCAGCACCCTGTGAGTCAGCCCCTGAGGGCCATCCAGCTTCTGTCTCCCAACACTAAGTTCACTTCATGTCTCTCATGACAGGGAGGAAACTTAGCATTCCTTGGAGACCTGAAGGGATGCAGTGAGCTTAAGAATTTTCAAGAGCTTATCAATCAGTCAGCCCTTGTTCATCCCTGAGCAGATGTGTGGTGGTATTGTGGTGGACCTTTACTGGGCACTGTGCCGAATAACTGGAGTGGCACTTGTACTTTAGTCCAATTGGCTATCCCTTTCACCCTGGCATTTCATCAACCAGAGGGAGGAAAAATAAGACATCGTAAAGTAAGAGAAGCCCCTTATGGGTCTTTCGACTCTCACGTCTATTTAGACACAATTGGAGTCCCACGGGGAATACCAGATCAATTTAAAGCTTGAAATCAAATAGCTGCAGGATTTGAGTCAATATTTTGGTGGGTGACAGTTAATAAAAATGTAGATTGGATAAACTACATCTATTACAACCAACAGCAACGAGCTTTTCGTGAGTTAAAAGAAAAGCTCATGGCGGCCCCAGCCCTGGGGCTACCTGACCTCACAATAGTTTTACATTCAGGAGGACTAATTACTTTTAAATTTATACAACAATTTCTTGCATAAATTCTTTTTTTATAATTTTTTTTTTTTTTACACAATATGTGTCAGAAAAAAAAATGATAGTTAATAGTTTTAACCCAGACTGTGGGACACTGGCCAAAGCTGGTGGCCTATCTCTCTAAACAATTAGACAGGGTTTCTAAGTGTTGGCCCTCATGTTTGAGGGCCTTGGCAGCAACAGCCCTGCTAGCACAACAAGCAGATAAGCTAACTCTTGGGCAAAACCTGAATATAAAGGCCCCCCCATGCTGTGGTAAATTTGATGAATACCAAAGGACATCATTGGCTAACAAATGCTAGATTAACAAGTACCAAATCTTGCTATGTGAAAATCCCCCCATAACCATTGAAGTTTGCAACACCCTAAACCCTGCCACCTTGCTCCCGGTATCAGAGAGCCCAGTTAAAACATAACTGTCTTAATCCTTTTAAATGGATCAAACCCCTCGGAGGATCATTGTTGTCACTGGCATTATTAATATTGGTATGTTTATGTTGTCTACTTTTAGTCTGCACATGTCTCCAAGGAGTCTGAGGACAAGTGCAAAGTCAACAACAAGCAATGATGGTGGTGGTGATCCTAGTCAATAAAAAGGGGGAAGATGTGGGTGGCAAGCCACCCAGGTGCCAAAGCAAGAGACTGAGGGCACAAGCTATTCCAGTATAATAAAGAAAATATATAGTATAAGAATAGTTCTACTAGAAATAGATTATGGATATGATTATATATGAATGTCATTAATCATTAGTTTGTAGCATTATTCTTTATTCTAATATTATAATAATCTTTGTTCTACAATTATAACCTAGGAAAAACCAGGCCCTACAGAGATAGGAGGTGAAGGGACATGGTGAGAAGTGACCAGAAGTCAAGAATGTTAGCCCTCTGTTACGCCCAGACAGGGCCACTAGTGGGCTCCCTGGTCTAGCAGTAATGCCAGCACCCATTACCTAGCAGACCTTGGTCTAGCAGTAGCATCAGTGCCTAGGGAAGGCACCCATTACTTAGCAGACCAGGAAAGGGAGTCTCCCTTTCCCCGGGGGAGTTAGAGAAGACTCTGCTCCACCACCTCTTGTGGAAGGCCTGACATCAGTCAGGCCCGCCTGCAGCCATCTGGAGGCCTAACCGTCTCCCTGTGATGCTGTGCTTCAATAGTCACGCTCCTGGTCCACTTTCATGTTCCACTCTGTATACCTGGCTCTGCCTTCTAGATAGCAGTAGCAGAATTAGTGAAAGTACTAAAAGTCTTTGAAATGCATAAAAGAAATAGTGGTGTAATCTGTCCTCTCTCTCTCTCCACCTCGGCTGCCAAACAGGGAAGGGCCCCCTGTCCAGTGGACACGTGACTCGTGTGACCTTACCTATCATTGGAGATGGCTCACACTCCTTACCCTGCCCCCTTGTCTTGTATCCAACAAATAACAGCATGGCCAGGCATTCAGGGCCACTACCAGTCTCCACACCTTGGTGGTAGTGGTCCTCCGGGCCCAGCTGTCTTTTCTTCTATCTCTGTCTTGTGTCTTTATTTCTATGATCTCTCATCTCCGCACATGAGGAGAAAAAACCCACAGACCCTGTAGGGCTGGGCCCTACATAACTGTGTAGAGGTATTAGACTCAGTTTATTCTAGTGGGCCCAACCTCCGAGACCATCTTGAGTATCAGGAGACTGTGAGCTATACTTGGATGGGAGCAGCTTTGCCAACCTCTGCAAAGTGACTCTGAAAAAGATGGCAAGCCCTGCTCCAGTCACACCTGGAAGCTGACTGGTTCCCGCATCACCAAAGCATGAGGAAATTAATCACAGGACTCATTTCCCTGAAAATTTGGACTTGTACAGTAAGGACTTCAACTGACCTTCCTCAGACTGAGGACTGTTCCCAATATATACATCAAGTCACTGAGGTAGGACAAAAGTTTGCTACAGTCCTATTATTTTATGGTTATTTTAAGTGTACCAGGACTCTAAAAGGAACTTGTTTGTATAATGCTATTCTATACAAGGTATGTAGCCCACGAAATGACCAGCCTGATGTGTGCTATAACCCATCTTTTTTCCTACTGCCCATAAAAACAGGCGAACTTCTAGGTTTCCTGGTCTATGCTTCCCGAGAAAAGAGAAGCATAGCTATAGGCGACTGAAAAGATGACAAGTGGCCCCCTGAAAGAATCATACAGTACTATGGGCCTGCCACTTAGGCACAAGACAGCTCATGGGGATACCGAATCCCCATTTATATGCTCAACTGAATCATACGATTACAAGCTGTCTTAGAAATAATCACTAATAAAACTGGCAGAGCTTCAACTGTTTTAGCCCAGCAAGAAACCCAGATGAGAAATGCTATCTATAAATATAGACTAGCCCTAGACTACTTGCTAACAGCTAAAGGAGGGGTCTGTGGGAAATTTAACCTTACTAATTGCTGTCTACACATAGATGACCAAGGGCAAGTAGTTGAAGACATAGTTAGAGACATGACAAAACTGGCACATGTGCCTGCGCAAGTGTGGCATGGATTTAATCCTGGGGCCATGTTTGAAAAATGGTTCCCAGCACTAGGAGGATTTAAAACTCTTATAGTAGGAGTTATAATAGTAATAAAAACATGCTTACTGCTCCCTTGTTTGCTATGTACTTCTTCAAATGATAAAAAGCTTCATCGCTACCTTAGTTCACCAAAATGCTTCAGCACAAGTGTACTATATGAATCACTATCGATCTGTCTTACAGGAAGACATGAGTAGTGAGGATAAAGGTGAGAACTTCCACTAATGAGAGAGGTTCTCAAACGGGGGGAAAAAGGGAGGAGACCACCCCTCATATTGTCTTATGCCTAGTTTCTGCCTCCAAAGAAAGAAGAAGTGAAAACTGAAAGGCAGAAATGGAATCCACAGGCAGATAGCCCAGCATCATGCCCTGGGCCTGCTAGTTAAAAATCCACCCCTGACCTAACTGCTTGTGTTATCTATAGATTTCAGACATTGTATGGAAAAGCATCATGAAAATCCCTATCCTGTTCTGTTCTGTTCTGACTAGTGGTACATGCAGCCCCCAGTCACATACCCTCTGCTTGCTCAATCAATCATGACCTTTTCAGGCGGACCCCGTTATAGTTGTAAGCCCTTGAAAGGGACAGGAATTGCTCACTCAGGGAGCTCAGTTTTTGGAGATGTGAGTCTTCCAATGCTGCCAGCTGAATAAAGCCCTTTCCTTCTGCAACTCGGTGTCTGAGGGGTTCTTGTCTGTGTCTCATCCTGCTACAACAGAGGTGGGCAGATCACGAGGTCAGGAGTTCCAGACCAGCCTGACCAACATGGTGAAACCCCGTCTCTAGTAAAAATACAAAAATTAGCCAGGCGTGGTGGTGCAAGCCTTTAATCCCAGCTACTCAGGGGGCTGAGGCAGGAGAATCACTTGAACCCGGGAGGCAGAGGTTGTAGTGAGCCAAGATTGCGCCATTGCACTCTAGCCTGGTCGACAGAGCAAGACTCCATCTCAAAAAAATTAAAAATAGGCTGGGTTGGTGGCTCATGCCTGTAATCCCAGCACTCTGGGAGGCTGAGGTGGATGGATCACCTGAGGTCGGGAGTTCGAGACTAGCCTGACCAACGTGAAGAAACCCTATCTCTACTAAAAATACAAAATTAGCCAGGTGTGGTGGAGCATGCCTGTAATCCCAGCTACTCAGGAGGCTGAGGCAGGAGAATCGCTTGAACCCGGGAGGCAGAGGTTGTGGTGAGCCAAGATTGTGCCATTGCACTCCAGCCTGGGCAACAAGAGTGAAACTCTATCTCAAAAAATAATAATAAATAAAAATAATAAAAAATAATAATGAATAAGTAAATAAAATAAAAATAAGGGATAAATATGCAAGGAAATAGCATAAAGAAAAAACAATCAGAACCTCAGGAAATATTGGACACACTTATAAAAATGCAAAATGCTCTGGAAAGTCTCAGCAATAGAATTGAACAAGTAGAAGAAAGAAATTCAGAGATCAAAGACAAGATCTTCAAATTAACACAATCCAGCAAAGACAAAAAAAAATGAACAAAACCTTAAAGAAGCCTGAATAATTGGTTTTTCTGAAAAAGAAGAAAAATCTAAAAGTTTGGAAAACATATTTGGGGAAATAATTGAAGAAAACTTACCTGGTTTTGCCAGAGGCCTAGACATTCAAATACAAAAAGCACAAAGAATACCTGAGAAATTCATCACAAAAAGATCATCACCTAATCACATTGTCATCAGGTTATCTAACGTTAAGATGAAGGAAAGAATCATATCATATATACATATATATATATACACATCATATATATATATCATCATATACACACACACACACACACACACACACACACACAATGGAATACTACTCAGCCATAAAAAGGAATGAATTAACATTTGCAGTGACCTGGATAACATTGGAGACTATTATTCTAAGTGAAGTCACTCAGGAATGGAAAATCAAACATTGAATGTCCTCACTGAGATGTGGGAGCTAAGCTATGAGGACACAAAGGCATAAGAATGATGCAATGGACTTTGGGGATGTTGGGGAAAGAGTAGGAGGGGGATGAGGGATAGAGACTACCAATATGGTGCAGTGTATACTGCTCTACTGCTCAGGTGATGGGTGCAACAAAATCTCACAAATCACCACTAAAGAACATACTAATGTAACCAAATACCACCTGTAGCCCAGTAACTTATGGGGAAAAAAAAGAGACTTAAAAAAATATATATATATACAAAAATTAGCCAGGCATAGTGGTGCATGCCTGTAGTCCCAGCTACTTGGGAGGCTGAGGGGAGAATCACTTTAACCTGGGAGGCGGAGGTTGCATTGAGCCAAAATTGTGCCATTGCACTCCAGCCTGAGCCACAGAGTGAGACTCTGTCTCAAAAAATATATATAAAAAATAAAACTAGTAATCCAGGCAAAACAAAAATGAATTATACATTATGAAAATACTCTGCCACATTTTTATACTAAATCAGCCAGTACTGAAATTTTTTAGATGTGCCATTTGAGTAAACTGTGTGTTCCAAGTCAGATTACCTATGATAACCTCTCAGTTATCAGTGCTATGAACCTAAATTGAAGAAACAAACTTGATATTTAAGAGGACATAAATTTAATGTTAAGTGTGAACTCATAGAGAACCTAGACAGCAGTGACTTTTTTCATTCCTGAGTTCTTAAAGCTTCCTTTATCAAAAGCACTGCATTTTATCACTCGCCACAGAAGAGATAAAAAATAGTCTAAGTTGGCGGGGCACAGTGGCTCATGCCTGTAATCCCAGCACTTTCAGAGGCCGAGGTGGGCAGATCACCTGAGGTCAGGAGTTCAAGACCAGCCTGACCAACACGGAGAAACTCTGTCTCTACTAAAAATACAAAATTAGCTGGGTGTGGTGGTGCACTCCTGTAATCCCAGCTACTTGGGCGGCTGAGGCAGGAGAATCACTTGAACCTGGGAGGCAGAGGTTGCAGCGAGCTGAGATGGTGCCATTGCAGTCCAGCCTGGGCAATAAGAGTGAAACTCCATCTCAAAAAAATACATAATAATAATCTAAGTTAAATATAAATTAAATGTGTGTGTGTGTGTGTGTGTGTGTGTGTGTGTGTGTGTGTGGTGACTGTCCTAACTACCAAAATAGGTTAGGACCGTTTTTTTCCTCTCAAACATATAATCCTGAGAAGACAATCCAAACTTCATGTACACTTTGGGAGACCAAGGCGGGTGGATCACAAGGTCAGGAGATTGAGACCATCCTGGCGAACACGGTGAAACCCCGTCTCTTCTAAAAATACAAAAAAAAAAAAAAAAAATTAGCCGGGCATGGTGGCAGGCACCTGTAGTCCCAGTTACTCGGGAGGCTGAGGCAGGAGAATGGCATGAACTCGGGGGATGGAGCTTGCAGTGAGCCGAGATCGCGCCACTGCACTCCAGCCTGGGTGACAGAGCGAGACTCCATCTCAAAAAAAAAAAAAAAAAAAGCTTCATGTACATTTCTGCTACCTGAGGATCTATTTAAACATTTGTAAAGAAATCTTATTCAATTGTCATGTTTAATGCATATTTTCTTGTAGAATAAAAATTTTCTCATGGGAAAAGTCTGATGTTATAACAGTAGCTTAAAGGATAATAAAAAATATGTTTTGCTCAGGAGACATTTCTGAAAAAGGCTCCAATAATATACTTATTTCGGCCGGGAGCAGTGGCTCATGCCTGTAATACCAGCACTTTGGGAGGCCAAGAAGGGTGGATCACGAGGTCAGGAGTTCAAGACCAGCCTGGCCATGATGGTGAAACCCTGTCTTTACTAAAAATACAAAAATTAGCCAGGCGTGGTGGTGGGCGCCTGTAATCCCAGCTACTCGGTAGGCTGAGGCAGAGAATCACTTGAACCCAGGAGGCAAAGGCTGCAGTGAGCTGAGATCGTGCCACTGCACTCCAGCCTGGGTGACAGAGTACGACTCTGTCTCAGGAAAAAAAAAAAAAAAAATCCGATTTCACTGGAGAAGTTATAAACTGTTAAATAAGCTATTCCAGAAACAATAGTATTGAGAAAATCCAACTAAATTGACAGGATTGCTTTTGTAATTGCAGATTGATGACAATCAGATTCACTGAGAGTGAAAAACTGTTTTGACTATTATAAACTTGTAATTGGATGGCTTATGTACCTGATAATAGAACCTCATGTGTGTTCTGTTACTGAAGTTTAATATGACTAAATGCAGCAAGGCTTTAATGCGTTATGGCAAAGCATATTTTCACCAGGTAAACAACCTTTTATGGTCTATTGACTGAGGACAGAAAAACCCTTTATAGTCTAGAACCCAGAGATTGAGTCTGCTTGCCATCTACACTGAAGCAAGACTTCAGGACCTTGAACCTTAGGTTGATAATCTCACAACTGAGAAGGGGCCCTCCAAATTCTTGCAATTGTATGCCCATTGGAGTTTTTTTTTTTTTTTTTTTTTTTTTGGAGACGGAGTCTTGCTCTGTTGCCTAGGCTGGAGGGCAGTGGTGCCATCTCAGCTCACTGCAAGCTCCGCCTCCTGGGTTCATGCCATTCTCCTGCCTCAGCCTCCCTAGTAGCTGGGACTACAGGTGCCCACCACCACGCCCAGCTAATTGTTTTGTATTTTTAGTAGAGACGGGGTTTCACCGTGTTAGCCAGGATGGTCTCAATCTCCTGACCTGGTGATCCTCCCACCTAGGCCTCCCAAAGTGCTGGGATTACAGGCATGAGCCACCACAACCAGCCGCAGATATTAAGGTAAAGTTAAACAGGGAAGTTTCTCCTAAAAAGCAAAGGCAGCTTTGATGTAGATCGCTTTCTTCACAAGATGAAAAATCAAGACATCTCTACTATCATGACACTCTTAGATTACGGTTTTTTTCTTATGGCTCTGCAAACAACAGAAATTAAAAAGGGCCTCTTGTGTGCACTCATGGGGTACACTTTTATATGTAGAAGATTTTGCAGCCAACATTATATATGAACAAACTTATGCCTTCATAAGTAAAAGATGAAGGTCCAATGAGGATGAGAAATTTTAATGGGACATCTGTTGCCTCATAATATCAGAAACAGAATATTGGTTCACTGCAGTTAACCTAATTCATAAGTTAAAGAGAACTTATTCAGAATAGATTATAGAGTATTGCCAGGAGGCCATTACTCTTCAATGGCTATCATTTGTTAGGTATTTTTGTTCCCCATGGTTTAGAGTAAATGAGGCAATGGTTAGAAATTTATTCCCCCTACTAGGGCTCTATAGCATATTCTATTGTAAAGGCTATGGTTACACAATAGACTTTAATTTTTCTTTTTAAAGTTGTGCAAAATAATAGAATTTCTCTAGATTACTTACTGGATGAACAGAGAAGTATCTGTGCAGTTGCTAAAACTTGTAGTTGTACATAGAAAAATATATCGGGTATTACAGAGATTCAGTTGTAGGAGATTAATAAATAGGCTGCTTGGTTGAAATGAGGAGACCATTTATTTACCTAATTATTTGATCTATTTAATGTTAGTTGGTGGGCTCATGAGACCCTGGCTAAAAAGCATACTTGAGGCCAGGCATGGTGGATCACACCTGTAATCCTAGCACTTTGGGAGGCCGAGGCGGGCAGATCACGAGGTCAAGAGTTCGAGACCATCCTGGCCAACATGGTGAAACCCCGTTTCTACTAAAAATACAAAAATTAGCTGGACATGGTGGTTCATGCCTATAGTCTCAGCTACTCGGGAGGCCGAGGCAGGAGAATCACTTGAACCTGGGAGGCGAGGCAGAGGTTACAGTGAGCCGAGCTCACGCCACTGCACTCTAGCCTGGCGAAAGAGCAAGACTCCATCTCAAAAAAAAAAAAAAAGCATACTTGAAACTCTTGTTATTATCTTTCTTATAGTCGAAATAGTAGTCTCCCTACTGCATTGTATTCTCTCAAAAGTTATAAATGTTTGTATGCAGTTATCTCTAGAATGTCAAATGATCTCTCTTTAACAGCAATCACAAAAACTCAAATGCATATGTGACCATGAGGACACCATAACCTATGAATGACCTGATAAGGACAAAAACTAAAGGTAATGGAAACTGAGAGTGGCATTAAGACAAAGTTTTGGTCACACTCTTACCTATGTGAGAACTTAACCAAAAGGGGGGAATTTTATAAACAACATTATTGAAGGCCATCATTCTGGATTGAGCTTGTGCATTACGCCCAAAGAGACCAAACCAAATCAAATGGAGTCACTCATGCTAAATGTGACATAATCAAACTGAAAATGTAAGGAAATAGGTAGATCCTAAAACAGGCCAGGTTTGGTTATTCTTTTGAAAACAGCAGATTTCAACACAAGGAGGTCACCTGTACTGTAACCCTTAAAAAAAAATAATAACCTGAAGTCCTTGTTTCCACTTTACAAAAGCTACAGTTCTGCTATTTCACAATGGGATTTGAGAATAAATAAGTAGATTTTTGATGGTGACAGAATAATATCAATGTCTAAAGCTTTGTTCTAGCTCTCAAAATTGAGAAGATGATCAAAAGGGAGAAATTGTTAAATTAATTATGCCTAAAGCTGCTCCCTTTTCTGTTTAACTTTGGTCACTAGGTTTTTTTTTAAACATTGTAAACTGAAACCTAACTGGATATATAAATAGACTGTAATCCATTATTGTACCAACCACTGTGTTTTTGCCAATAAAAGGACATCAAGTGTTCAAATTATGTTTCAATAAGGCAAATCCCAACCTGTAATCAATCTGGCTGTTTCTGTACCTCACTTCTATTTTCTGTATGTCACTTTGCTTTTTCCATCCACAAACCTGTTTTCATAATGTGGCTTTGCCAGAGTCTCTCTGAGCCTACTCTGGATCCACAGGCTGCCCAATTTGCAAATCATTCTATGCTCTATTAAACTCTGTTGAATTTAATTTCTCTAAAATTTTAAAGTTTTTCTCTTTTAAAAGTTTTCAAATATTTTCTTCTCTCTCTCTCTCTTTTTTTTTTCTTGAGATGGAGTTTCACTCTTGTTGGCCAGGCTGGAGTGCAGTGGTGCGATCTTGGCTCACTGAAACCTCAGCCTCCCAGGTTCAAGCGATTCTCCTGCTTCAGCCTCCCACGTAGCTGGGATTACAGACATGTGCCATCACGCCCGGCTAATTTTGTATTTTTAGTGGAGACAGGGTTTCCTCATGGTGGTCAGGCTGATCTCGAACTCCTGACCTCAGGTGATCCACCCACCTCAGCCTCCCAAAGTGCTGGGATTAGGCATGAGCCACCGCACACAGCCTAGTTTTCAAAAAAAATTTTTTTTTGAGACAGAGTTTCGCGCTGTCACCCAGGCTGGAGTGCAGTGGCATGATCTCAGCTCACTGCAAGCTCTGCCTTCCAGGTTCACGCCATTCTCCTGCCTCAGCCTCCCGAGTAGCTGGGACTACAGGCGCCCGCCACCATGCCCAGCTAATTTTTTGTATTTTTAGTAGAGACGGGGTTTCACCGTGTTAGCCAGATGGTCTCGATCTCCTGACCTCGTGATCCGCCTGCCTCAGCCTCCCAGTGTTGGGATTACAGGCGTGAGCCACAGTGCCAGCTCAAATATTTTCAATGATAAAAATAAATAATGTGCTGTTGGGCTTTGATTTTCTAAACTCATCCCTCAGCTATTTCCTCAAATTATTCTGTCTTCGAAATGCTTCTCCAATATTTTTTTTTTTTTGAGACAGAGTCTCATTTTACCACCCAGTGTGGATGGCAGTGGTGCAGCCAATCATGGCTTACTGCAGCCTTGACCTTCCAGACTCAAGCAATCCTCCTGCCTCTGCCACCTAAGTATTGGGACTATAGGCATGTACCACCATGGTTGGCTAATTTTTTCATTTTTTTAATGGAAACAAAATCTTATTATGTTGCTCAGGCTGCACTGGAACGCCTGAGCTCACATAATTCTCCCATCTTAGCCTCCCAAAGTGCTAGGATTACAGGTCTGAGCCACCGTGTTTGCAAAATGGTAGCAATTTTTCATCCCCCTTGTATCCATGCCCAATGCCAGATGCTTTTACAGTTGTTTCCATCAAGATTCAGAATCTGTTTTCCAAACCCTAGATCAGGCTGGCCTTATTTGCTCAGGGCAGTAGAAACCTGTGAACATGGCAATGAGCTAGTTTGGGACCTAGGCTCAAATGGTCTTGAGTGCTTCTGTTTTTCTTTTAGAATGTTGACATCACCTTGGAAAAAAGCCCATGTTAGCCAGCTGGAAAATAAGGTATCATGGGGAGGAGAAGCAAGGTGTCCCTATTGACAACCCCAGAAGCAGAACATCACCCCCAGAAGCACAGCTGCCTAGTCAACAAGCAGCTGACGACATATGACTGAAGGAGCTCAGCTGAAACCAGAAGAATGGCCCCACTGAGCCCAACCTAAATGGCTGACCATCTCGATTATGAACTAATAAGTTTTGGATGATTTGTTATGCTGCAATAGCTAACTAATACATGCACCCAGTGCAGATAGGATGCCAGGATTCAATGACAGGTTGATTACTAGTTATGTTCTAACAGTGGGCACCCTATAGGTACTGATTTTTTCCCCTGATTTAAAGTTGGGTGACTTGTAAGAGAATGTTGAGTAATGCAGAAATACAGGTAGACATGTATGCATGTGATTGGTGCTTATACCCACACAGTCCCACACACCACAGGAGAAAACAGGTAACTACAGCCTGACTAGTAGGGCCAAGGCCAATAGCAAAATAAGTTTTGCCTTTAATCTGTTTTCTCCATATCTAAACATTTGAGGTCAAGAGTGTGGACAGATCTGAAGACACAGAGTTTTATTATCCTGTGGCCCCAACATTCTTTCTTCACTGTCTGATCTCTGGAAGAAAAGTGGGCAACAGGTGGCCAGCAGTGGTCTACCTGTGGTTATTTTACTCCTGCTGCCATCTGCTCTTTTTATGGCCACTATCTGTTCCACCCTTAGAACTGAAGAAAGATATTGGTAGGGAGAGACTCTGCCTTCACTTCTGGCAGAAAAGGGATGTTCAGTTCATTCACCCCCCTGACATCAGAGCTGAACTTCAATGTGGCAGCTATTGGCCACGTGTGCCTCCTGAGTGACTGGAATGTGGCTGGTCTGAACTGCGATGTGCTAGAAAGGTAAAATACAGAGTTAGTTTCAAAGATTTAGTTTCAAATGTTTATATACATTATTAATAATTACACATTCCTCACACATTAAAATGATAATATTATGGACATATTGGGTTAAATTGTTACAATCAATTCAACCTGTTCCTTGTTTCTTTTTCAAGTTTGTCTACTAGAAAATTTAAGATTCACATGTGGCTCACATTTTATTTCAGAAGATTACCATCTTTTTAAAATCTGAGGCTGCCTCCTTTAGCCGGGAAGGTCATAAAATCTGAAATTTTAAAATAATTATTGTTACATTCTTTTCATTTTTGAATAGCCACTATATATATATAAATATAAATATATATAAAAATATATAAAAATAAAAATATAAATATATATAAAAACATAAATATATATAAATATAAATATGTATAATATATAAATATATAAAAATATATAAAAATATAAATATAAAAAATATATATAAATATAAATATATAAATATAAATATAAATATATATAAATATATACATATAAATATATAAATATAAATATATAAATATATAAATATAAATATATATAAATATATAAATATATATATATAAATATATAAATATATAAATATATATATATAAATATATAAATATTTATATATAAATATATATAAATATATAAATATATATAAATATATAAATATATATAAATATATATAAATATATAAATATATATAAGTATATAAATATAAATATATATAAATATATAAATATATATATAAATATATATAAATATATAAATATATATAATTATATAAATATAAATATATATAAATATATATAAATGTATATAAATACATAAATAAATATATAAATATATATAAATATATATATAAATAAATATATACAAATATATATAAATAAATATATATAAATATATATAAATAAATATATATAAATATATATAAATAAATATATAAATATATAAATATATAAATAAATACATATATAAATATATAAAATATATATAAATAAATATATAAAAATATATATAAATAAATATATATAAATAAATATATATATATATATATATATATATATTTTAGACAGAGTTGTGCTCTTGTTGCCCAGGCTGGAGTGCAATGGCACAATCTCGGCTCACCGCAACCTCCGCCTCCCAGGTTCAAGCGGTTCTCCTGCCTCAGCCTCCCGAGTACCTGGGATAACACACATGGGCCACCACAACCCGCTAATTTTATATTTTTTATAAAGACTGGGTTTCTCCATGTTGGTCAGGCTGGTCTCTAACTCCCGACCTCAGGTCATCTGCCCGCTTCAGCCTTCCAAAATGTTGGGATTACGGGCGTGAGCCACCGTGACCGGCCCCATATATTATTTATAAATGCATATGACCTTACACACAAGGTTAAATGCAAATAACCTCTGGGGTGGGCCTGGCTCAGCTCAGGGAGGAAGCCCTGTCAGAGAAGGATGCAGCCCAAGCTGTCACTCTTCTTTCAGCCCCGCATCTCATCACATCTTCCGTCAATCATGGCCTGAGGGGGCGGGGATTTAAATGTTATCCAATCAGAGACGCTAGGCAGGGAACCGTCCAATCAGGCACGCAGGTGAAGCGGACAGGGCGGCTTCCGGGTTTGGCGGGGCCTTTGTCCCTCGCTGTGGCCTGAGCTCCAGGTCTCGTCTTCAGCGCTCTGTGTCCTCTGCTCCTAGAGGTCCAGGCTCTGTGGCCCTGTGACCCGCAGGTATTGGGAGATCTACAGCTAAGACGCCAGGAACCCCTGGAAGCCTAGAAATGGTGAGAGTGCCGGGTCCGACATCCCCAGAGAGGGGAGGGGCTGGTTGTAATGGGTGGGAAGTGGCTGTGGCGGGACTCAGGCCTCCCGGCAGTCAGCTGCACAATCTGCGCCCCGAGTTCTTGCCCAGCTGGGCCTCAGTCCCCATCAGCCTTAAGATGGCGGCTGCGCTGACAGGCGGGCCCCAGCACGTCCCGTCTCTTCCTTGCGCAGTGACTGTGCCCTGGCCTGGAGCCCTCTCTGGGCAGCTCTGCATCCGCAGCGCCGCGTCTCTCCCAGACTGTGCAGGGACCACGGGAGGATCGTCACGGGAGAATCGTCACGGGAGAATCCTGACTTGGGGTGCGAGTTCATGAATGGGAAGAACTTTGGTCCTGGGTTCCTAGTTCCTCTTTTCTCCTATTAAAAATGTACAGACCGGGAGGGGTGGCTCACGTCTGTAATCCCAGTACTTTGGGAGGCCGAGGCGGGCGCATCACTAAGTCAGGAGAGTTCAAGACCAGCCTGGCCAGCATAGTGAAACCCCGTCTTTACTAAAAATACAAAAATTTGCCGGGCATGGTGGTACACGCCTGTAGTCCCAGCTACTTGGGAGACTGAGGCAGGAGAATCACTTGAACCTGGGAGGTGGAGATTGCAGTGAGCCGAGATAGCGCCACTGCACTACAGCCTGTGTAACAGAGCAAGACTCCGTCTCGGAAAAAAAAAATGTACAGAAGTCACCACAAAAATATTAAAGAAATTAATCAAAGAGTGATTAAAAAACTGTTGAGCACCCAGCTGTGGTTTGTAATTTGTTGTTCATGGCGGGGCTTGAAGGAAAGACTTTTATAAGGTGCATGATGAAGAAAGCCAAATTCAGTAATTGGTTAGGTACCGTTATGTAGTTTCTTAGTTTGTACAATAAAGGTGAAAATTTTCTGGTTGTGTAATCAGACCTTAATTGGCAGTATACAGTTGATTAAGCCTGAATTTTGTGTCTTTCAATGTAGTAATTTTCAAAACGATGCGCCTGAGTTAGATTTTTTTTTTTTTTTTTTTTTTTTTTTTTTGAGATGGAGTCTCGCTCTTGTCGCCCAGGCTGGAGTGCAGTGGCACAATCTCGGCTCACTACAACTTCTGCCGCTGCCTGTGTTCAAGCTTCTCCTGCCTCAGCCTTTTGAGTAGCTGGAATTACAAGCGCCTGCCACCCTGCCCAGCTAATTTTTGTACTTTTAGTAGAGACGGGGTTTCACCATGTTGGCCTGGCTGGCCTCGAACTCTTGACCTCAGGTGATCCGCCTGCCTTGGCCTCCCAAAATGCTGGGATTACAGGCGTGAGCTATCACGCCCAGCCACGTTAGATCTTTTTAAAAGTAGGAACCCAGGGTCTAGAGACACCTCAGTCTAATTGCCTGCCACTCAATTATTTTCACACTCCACGGGGAACTGATTTTCTGCTGCATTTTTCACCTGTGTCCCAAGCAGGGTCTTAAGTCTAACCCCCGTCCCCCATTTCTCCAGCCTCACTCTGGCTTGCAGTAAGATACTAAATTTCCAGTTCTTTCTGGCGTTCCCAAATGCCAACTTTTCCTACCTAATTCACATTATCACCTATTTGTCCTTTAGTGTACATTTTTTACACCGTATTTTAATTAGTTATTTTCTGACAAAGTATTAAATGGTGCTTTTAATAAGATTTGTTATCTGTTTGTAAATATTTCCCATGTGAAGAAAGCAAAGAATAATCCCCTGACACTGTGTTGTAAAAACTCTCTGTGCTTCTTCTCCTTGTATCTTCTCTGGGCACAGAGATCTTGTCTCAGGATGTTTTTGGGTCAGGGTTTTCCTTTGGAAACTTTATGGGGTGTTGTGTCCTCAGTCACCCTTCAGTTTTTTTCTGGTCCTGGGTTTCAGTATTGTCTGGGGATAAACCAAGATATCCGCCATGGTTATGTCAGTTAGAGTGTCTAGTGGATATCAGCTTCTGGGTTATTTTCTCCCATAGGAGAACCTGAAGTCTGGAGTGTATCCTCTCAAGGAAGCAAGTGGATGCCCTGGGGCTGACAGGAATCTTCTGGTGTACTCTTTTTATGAAAAGGTAACCCCTTGAGATGTTAAAATTGTCTTCACCCAACCCAGCTTTCATTTCTTGGAGACACATTGCTGGTCAACCAATCAGACTGTGGCATTGAGGGGAAAACAAATAATTTTTGCCTCTGGATTGTCTAAGGGGGCAGAAAAATAGTGAAATAACTATAGTGAAAGTAAAATAGTGGAAAAAAGTGGAACATTTGTGACAGAAAAAATAGTATCCCAAAAGACAAAAAGAAAAAGAAAAACACTGACCCCAGTGAGATGGCGTAAGAACTTGCAAAGTTAAATGCCCGTGGGACAGTCACTGGGGCATAGTGTGGTATCTCCTGAGTGGGTGGTTCTTGAGCACATAAGTGAGCAGGAGTGGGTGGAAGACTGTTTGAAGTGATTGAATGGCCTGACTTGAAACATGAGTCAGACACATCTGTTTTTTCATCAGCACTGCCACTCCCTGGGTTTGTCACCTTGAAAAGATTTGTTCATTTATTTTAACCTCAGTTTTTTAGCTGTAAATTCTATTAGTAGGGCTTGAAAGGTAGGAAAATATTTACCAAAGGCATAAAAGTGGTGGGTTTAAGAAAAAAAATAGTATCTAATAATATATTCCATTCATTAAAAATTCTCTATTCCCTTTTTACCCCCAGGGTGAGTTTAGGAATTTTCTCAGGTGTGTTTTTTATGGCTGGGTGATTTCAAACAGAATTCTAAGGCTCAGCTTTTAGAATGCTACCAAGGAAATGAGTAGGGAAAATCTCTGTTCCATTTTTTTGTAGAAAATAAATACATTTCTACAAGAAAATGTGGTAGATAATTGGTGAGTTACATACATTCATGAAAACATGAGTTTCTCTCTCTGCAGGGTAAATTTGTGACAGTAAACATCTCTGTTCAAATCCTGTTATCTTGATTTCTGAGTTTCATGCTAAATTTTATGAGATGAAACTTGGTACCACCTAGAAGTTTTCCCATATGACTAACTGTTTACTAAATGATTCTTAATGGAATTCATAAAATAATGCATACATTATGTGAAAGAAATAGATATTTTGCTTTTTTTATTGAGGTATAAATTGCAAACACCTTAAAATTTCCTTCCCTTGTATGAACACTGTGACTAATTTTGCTAGATTTTTCAAACACATAGTTTCAAAAACCAAGTGAGTAACTCTAACATAGAAATTAAAGCTTGAGCCCAGTGACTCAGAGCTAAGGCTAATATTGAGCCTGCAAAAGGAGTTTATTACAGGCCCAGTTAGTTTTTTTTCTGGGGAGCCTCCCCTGCAGATGTCCTAGCCTGCTCACTCTAGCTGTGGAAGAAGCTTTTCTGCTGAGAGAAGCTACAGAGTCCTGGAAAGGTGGGGACCCACAGGCAGATGCAGTTAAGGTTAAGATGGTAGGAGATTGAGAGGGTCTTACTGATGATAAAGTTGTTAATGTTTGAAGGCAGTTTCTAGACTTTGTAATACCTAACAAAGTTAGATTTATGTTAAAAATTTGAATTCCAAAGGACTATTGCAACAGGAGGAAATACCAACTGTAAGAACCTTAAGGATTGCAAAGTTTAGGCAGAAAAGGGCTTTCTTTCATGGGGAGGAGCAAACAAAATTAGAAGTTGGAGACGGCCGGATGCTGTGGCTCACACCTGTAATCTCAGCACTTTGGGAGGCCGAGGCAGGCGGATCATGAGGTCAGGAGATGGAGACCATCCTGGCTAACATGGTGAAACCCCGTCTCTACTAAAAATACAAAAAAATCAGCCGGGCGTGGTCACGGGCGCCTGTAGTCCCAGCTACTCGGGAGGCTGAGGCAGGAGAATGGCGTAAACCCAGGAGGTGGAGCTGGCAGTGAGCCTAGATCGCGCCACTGCACTCCAGCCTGGGTGACAGGGCCAGATTCCATCTTAAAAAAAAAAAAAAGAAGTTGGAGGTGACTGACAAATGAAGGGTGAAATAATCAGATTTTAGATCAGAGAATGTTTTACCCTGAAGTCAGCATGTTCTTAGGAGGGACATAAAATGGAGTTGTATATTGGCTCAGATTGAGGGTAGCTCCAAGTTCAGGAGCCTGTGAAAAATTTTATTTAGACCACTGAAGACAAATTCAGCTGATTTTTTTAAATGAGAAAAAGAAAATGTGCAGAGTTCTTATCGGAAAGGGGTCACAATCCACACCCCAAGAGAGGGTTCTTGGATTTCGCTCAAGAAAGAATTCAGGGTGAGTCTACAGAGTAAAGTAAAAGCAAGTTTATTAGGAAACAGAAGGAATAAAAGAATGGCTTACTCTATAGGCAGAGCAGCCCTGAGGGCTGCTGGTTGCCCATTTTTATGGTTATTTCTTGATTATATGCTAAACAAGGGGTGGATTATTTTTGCCTCCCAATTAGACAATATAAAGTCATTTTCTGATGTTTCCATGATGTCTCCATGGCATTTTGTAAACTGTCATGGCACTGGTGGGAGTGTAGCAGTGAGGACCACCAAAGGTCACTCTCATCCCATCTTGGTTTTGGTGAGTTTTATCCACCTTCTTTACTGCAACCTGTTTTATCACCCAGATCTTTATAACCTGTATCTTGTGCTGAACTCTTGTCTCATCCTGTGACTTAGAATGCCTAACCATCTGGGAGTGCAGCCCCATAGGTCTCAGCCTCATTTTACCCAGCCCCTATTCGAAATGGATTTGCCCTGATTCAATACACCTCTGACATTTCTCCTTTTTTTTTTATCTGAGACGGAGTCTCACTCTGTTGCCCAGGCTGGAGTGCAACGGCATCATCTCGGCTCACTGCAACCTCCACCTACCAGGTTCAAGTATTTCTCCTGCCTCAGCCTCCCCAGTAGCTGGGATTACAGGCGCCTACCACCATGCCTGGCTAATTTTTGTACTTTTTTTTTTTTTTTTTTCAGTCCAATCAGTTTACTCTGCTTTCTCCATCTCCTCCTCCCATTAGTCAGCCATTGGAACTGGGAAACCTCCTACTTTCCCCCTCTTTGTACTCTTTCCACAATTCATCTTGTCTTTCTGCAGCCATATCTTCTTAATACAGACTGAAGTTTCTGTCATTGAGAACAGAGTGATCCATAAACCTGGTCATCACACTTTTTATGAGATAGTAATGTGGGCCCCAGATCCATGGCATGGTTTCCTCTGGATGCACTCCTGGATCTAATTTTTGTATTTTTAGTAGAGACGGGGTTTCACCATGTTGACCAGGATGGTCTCCGTCTCTTGACCTCATGATCCACCTGCCTCGGCCTCCCAAAGTGCTGGGATTACAGGCATGAGCCATCATGCCTGGCCGTAATCTCTGACTTTTTTTTTTTTTTCTTGAGACGGAGTCTCACTGTGTTGCCCCGGCTGGAGTTCAGTGGCACGATCTCAGCTCACTGCAACCTCCGCCTCCCAGGTTCAAGTTATTCTCCTGTCTCAGCCTTCTGAGTAGCTGGGATTATAGGCGCACGCCACCACGCCTGGCCAGTTTTTGTATTTTTAGTAGAGATGGAGTTTCACCATGTTGATCAGGCTGGTCTCAAACTCCTGACCTTGTGATCTGCCTGCCCCAGCCTCCCAAAGTGCTGGGGTTACAGGCGTGAGCCACCGTGCCCGGCCAATCTCTGACTTCTTTAAGCAGTGTTTTGTGATTCTTGTCATAGGGATCTTTCACCATTCTGATTAGCTGTATTCCTAGATATTCTATTCTTTTTGTGGCAATTGTGAATGGGATTATGTTTTTGATTTGGCTTTTGGCTTGGATGTTTTGATGTACAGAGATTCTACTGATTTTTGTACGTGTATTTTGTATCCTGAAACTTTGCTAAAGTTGTTTATTAGTTTAAAGAGCTTTCCTGCTGAGACTATAGGGTTTTGAAGATATAGAATCATGTCATCTGCACACAGGGATAGTTAGACTTCCTTTCTTCCTGTTTGGATGCCTTTTTTCTTTTCTTTTCTTTTTTTTTTTTTTTTTTTTTTTGAGACAGAGTCTTGCTCTCGCCAGGCTGGAGTGCAGTGGTGTGATCTCGGCTCACTGCAACCTCCGCCTCCCAGGTTGAAGCGATTCTCCTGCCTCAGCCTCCTGAGTAGCTGGGACTACAGGCACATGCCACCATGCCAAGCTAAGTTTTGTATTTTTAGGAGAGACGGGGTTTCACCATGTTGGCCAGGATGGTCTCGATCTCTTGACCTCGTGATCTGCTCACCTCAGCCTCCCAAAGTGCTGGGATTACAGGCGTGAGCCCCCATGCCCGGCAGATGCCTTTTATTTTCATCTCTTCTCTGATTGCTCTGGCCAGGATTTCCAATTTTATGTTGAATAGGATGTTTGAGAGAAGGCATCCTTATCTTGTGCCAGTTTTCAAGGAGGAATGCTTCCAGCTTGTGTCCATTCAGTGTGTTGGCTGTAAGTTTGTCGTTGATGTCTCATTGTTTTGAAGTATATACCTTCAATGCCTAGTTTGTTAAGGGTTTTAAACATGAAAAATGTTAAATTATATTGAAAGTATTTTTAGCATCTATTGAGATAATCTTGGTATTTGTTATTAGTTCTCTTTATGTGATGAATAACATTTATTGATTGTATATGGAACCAACTTGCCTCCCAGAGATGCAGCCTACTTGATTATAGTGGATTAGCTTTTTGATGTTCTTCTGAATTCAGTTTCCCAGTATTTTGTTGATGGTATTTTCATCAATGTTCATCAAGGATATTGGCTTGAAGTTTTCTTTTTTTTTTAATCTCTGCCAGGTTTTGATATCAGAATGATGCTATTCTTATATATAATGAGTTGAAAAGGAGTCCTTTCTTTTCAATATTTTGAAGTATTTTTAGTAGAAGTGGTACTAGCTCTTTTTTGTACATCTGGTAGAGTTCAGCTAGGAATTTGTCTGGTTCTTTGCTTTTTTTTGGCTAGTAGGCTATTTCTTACTAATTCAATTTTGGAGCTTGTTATTGGTCTATTCAGGGATTCAGTTTCTTATTTGTTCAGTCTCTGGAAAATGTGTCTTTGCTCCCAGGTTACTATTCTCAAGCTTGGCCCAAATAAACTCTTATATTCATGTTGCCTCAGCTTTTTCCTTTTAGGTAGTCATATCACGTAGAATGAGCTAGAGCAGCCTCTATGAGGGGATCTCTCCTTTGATTGTACTCCACTTGCTGTAACACCCAAGAATGCAGAGTGTGGTTGATCCTACCTAGAATCTGCACATAAGGTCTGGCCTCTTCCTGGGATTTACAGGACACGGCCAGACTTTAGGTTGAGAATGTACAGAAAACCAACAGGAGGCATTTTCTCCATTGTGAGTTGTCAACATAGACATCTTAAAGCCCCCTTTGACAGTGTGGTTCTTTAAGCTTTTCAGATCTTGTTCAGTGATTTGCCACAGTTATGTGAGAGGCTCCAGATATAAATAGAATCTGATGACAGAATCAGCATTTTAAGAGTGAGATATCAAAGTCATAATGTATCCATAGCCATGACCACAACTATACCTACCTGTAAAATGTGATACTGGAGTAGAGTATTCTTGTCTTTCTCCTTACCCAAAAGCTAGCAAATTGGGACAAGTGATTAGGTTCTGGAGCTCCACCAGGCCATTTTCTATTTAGAATCAGCCTGAATCTCTCCAGCCTGGATTATCATTGGGCCATCAGCCCAGGGTCACTAAGAACCCTCTCACAATCACCTAGACGTCTTTGAGACATTTGAGGATGTCCAGGGCAGAATTGTGTCAGGCTGACAAGAGTGGTTAATTCTGCTTCTGGCTTGGTGTAAGAGAAATGAGTCATTCTGTGTGTGTGTGGTTTTTTTAGGGTTTTTTTTCTTTTTTTAGACGGAGTATTGCTCTATCGCCCAGGCTGGAGTGCAGTGGCGCGATCTCGGCTCACTGCAACCTCCGCCTCCCGGGTTCAAGTGACTCTTCTGCCTCAGCCTCCCAAATAGCTGGGAATACAGGCACTTGCCACCATGCCTGGCTAATTTTTGCATTTTTAATAAAGACAGGGTTTCACCATATTGCACAGGCTGGTCTTGAACTCCTGACCTTGTGATCCGCCCACCTCAGCCTCCCAAAATGCTGGGATCACAGGTGTGAGCCACCATGCCTGGCAATTCTGTGTTTTTTTCTCCCCTTATACAAGAGATAACTTTGGTTGGTACCCAGATGAGAGTTTCTCAAGTTTCCTGATACTTGGATGAAAGCAATAGGAGGTCTGGTGACTCAAACAGATAAAGTAATTGTTTTCATTTTATATGGCCATTCAAAAAACAGATGAAGCAGTCATGATCCTTACTATCCAGGAACATGTCTAGACTAACAACTGGATACATGGGTGAATTAAGCATTATATGGTTGGTACAATGAATAGATGTGTCCAAAAAAAATTGGGGCCACTGTTTTATATTGTTACTTCTGATACCATCAGCTGAGGAGATATTTATGGAGTGAAGATTTGTTATTATTTGTGTTTCCTTTACTTTGCTAAGAATATATATTTATCTTCTAGTATAATTATTCTAAAGAACTTTAATAAATTTGTTTAAATTGCTTATTAGTATATGTTATAAAATTGACAGGGCAGTGGCAAAAATAGATTAAAGTTACATAAGCTCTGGGATTTAAGATTCTCTTATGTAAGCTTAGGAAAAACAGAACTGGAAATACCTTGGTGGCAGAGAGAACATAATTCTACATAGGGTCCTTTCCCTGCCCAAATTCTGTTCAGATTCACGTTTTTTGGAGGCCTTATTTATGTCTGGCCCCGCTCTGGAGCCTTACCTCACAAAACTGATTTATAAAAATCAGAGTTTTGGCTGGGTGTGGTGGCTCACACCTGTAATCCCAACACTTTGGGAGGCCGAGGCAGACAGATCATGAGGTCGAGAGTTTGAGACCAGCCTGACTAACATGGTGAAACCCCGTCTCTACTAAAAATACAAAAATTAGCCGGGCGTGGTGGCACATGCCTGTAATCCCAGCTGCTCAGGAGGCTGGGGCAGGAGAATCGCTTGAACCCGGGAGGCGGAGGTTGCATTGAGCCAAGATTGTGCCACTGCACTCCAGCCTGGTGACAGAGCGAGACTCCATCTAAAAAAAAAAAGACTGGAGTTTTGTCTGGTGAGTCCTGCTGCTTTTCTAGAGCTGGTGCTCACAATTTTCTGAAACCCAAAAACAGATAAATGACAGAAATAAACTATTTATTTTAGGATCTTATTTTTTGAATTTGTATTAAAACCAGTGCTTACAGAAACATTCCATTTAGCACCTTGTTTTCTGTTTCTGCCAATCTAGCAGTTGCTCCACAAGCCACAAACAAGTAAATGTATACACAATAAAAATTTCTCTAAACTACATTAAACTTTTTCTATGTTCTTCTCATCTGCCTGTATTTAACTTTTATTCTATACCTTTAAAACAAAATCAATGACAGAGAAACAGAGGGAGAAATAAAAATGCTGAACCCTTTATCTAAGTCCTGGGAATTATTGAACACTTAGTATCAACTTCCAGGGTGTTATTAGGATTAAATCACAAAATGTGTTATTCCCAGCACAGTGCTCTGTAACATATCCTTGAGCACATAGTACCTGCTTAATAAACATTGCATTTGTATATGTGTACATGTTATTTTCCAAAGGCAGATTTATTCAGACATTGCCGCCTTCTGTTTGTTCTGTAAACTTTAAAGAGCCAGCGAAGAATATAAAAATTTAAGATGGAGATTGGTTTTATTTGTACCAGAAGTATTTGTGTTGTGACAAGAGTGCTAAGTGTAAGGGACTCTGTGCTGTACCTGCTTCTCTAACTAATGCTAATGAGCCCAGGGGGAACAACATCAGCATTGACAGGGAACTTGTTTGAAACACGCATTCATGAACCCTTTTCAAACTTGCAGATCCACATTACGTAGAGTGGGGCCAAAATTACCAAACGAGTTTTAAGCTCATTAAAGTTTGAGAGGCAGTGCTTAGCTAAGTGGTTATCAGCCCCGTCTTGTTTTTTTTGTTTTGTTTTGTTTTCTGTTTTTGAGACAGGATCTCACTCTGTCACCCAGTCTGGAGTGCAATGGCATAATCTCGGCTCAGTGAAACCTCCGCCTCCTGGGTTCAAGCCATTCTTATGCCTCAGCCTCCTGAGTAGCTGGGATTACAGGCACCCGCCACCATTCCTGGCTAATTTTTTGTGTTTTTAGTAGAGATGAGGTTACACCATGTTGGCCAGGCTGATCTTGAACTCCTGACCTCAGGTCATCCATGTGCCTCGGCCTCCTAAAGTGCCAGGATTACAAGTGTGAGCCACCGCGCCCGGCCTCTGCCCAGTCTTCTAATTAGGATTACATGGCAGAAATCTCTGTACTTATGCCCTTTCCATGGATTTCGTTTATTGTTCTGGGTGGAAGCATCCATGTTGTTTTAATGAAGTGCCTCATGTGACTCTAAGGTGAGGCCAGAATCAAGTATGAGGGCTTCAATATACATTCATGAGAGCTAAGTGCCACCTTTGCACTAAAGGGTGGTCTCAGGGCCCGTTCTGTTTGGGTTTGGTAGGGACAGGGGAGTGTGGCTCATATTTCCATTACTGTAGCAGAAATTGCTGGTGTCTGTGGCAGAGGAGGGCACCTAAGGACAGGAAAAGAGAAACATACTTTTATATTCATAGAGCAGCTCGTTGTTCCTGAATCCTTTCTGTTATAAAGGACAGAGAAATGGGTGGACTTTTTCTGCAGGACCTTCCTTCTGTTTGTGTGCGTGATGGTAGCAGACAAAAAGGTGGTGCTGACATTTTTAAAGGAACGTTCTCAAAATGCAGGTATAACTTGTCCAGAGAATGTTATCTAAAAAGGATTTTCAGAGAAAGAAAGAGAAAAAATGGCTTTTTTTCAGCTAAACGTGTCTCAGAAGAAGAGCTGTGTGCACTCTGCTTCATGGAATGCCATGTGTTTAGTACTTGCAAATCTTTACTTCTCGATTTGTGTTTTTCCTTCTTAAGGAGTTTGTTTTAACTACATTAAAAAATTCTTATAATATTCAAGGCTGTCTGCAAAACATTTCTTTACTATATACCAGAGCTTTCTCTACATTCTCTACATCATGGCTTCTTATATGCCACGCAGAATTCCTACCATAAATTTATAATCGGCACTACTAAAAATGTTCCCTTTGTGGCTGTTAAACATGGGGAGATGTAGATACTCAAGATTCCTATTGGGGGAAAGCTGGGGTCCCTAGTAAAGATGGAGAATATGTAATGTTGAGGTTTCATCTGTTTTCTCTATTAACTCTATGCAGAACAGGATTAAGAAAATGCTTATTTAAACAGAATACCATTTATTACCCAGAAAGTTCTGAAAAAAATTATTAGGAGATACCTGCTCTCTAGGGTGCTAAAGAAAGACTACTTAAAATCACTGTTAAAAATAACAGAACATGGGAGATATCTGTATTTTGAACTTTGTATAAAACTGATGTATCTTTATGGTTGCATTCAGATTATAATTTACTGTTTGAGGGGCAATATCTTAGCAGTGATGCCGTGTTCTTCTATGTGCATCAGCACATCATAAAAATTTGTTGGCTGGGTGTGGTGGCTCACACCTGTAATCCCAGCACTTTGGGAGGGCGAGGTGGGCGGATCACCTGAGGTCAGGAGTTCGAGACCAGACTGACCAACATGGAGAAACCCCGTCTTTACTAAAAATACAAAATTAGCTGGGCATGGTGGTACATGCCTGTAATCCCAGCCACTTGGGAGGTTGAGGCAGGAGAATTGCTTGAACCCAGGAGGCGGAGGTTGCAGTGAGCCGAGATGGTGTCATTGCACTCCAGCCTGGGCAACAACAGCAAAACTCCATCTCAAAGAAAAAAAAAAGAAGAAAGAAATTTAGAAGTTCAGACTTTACTCCAGATCTTCTGAAGAAAAAAAGTCTGCACAACAGAATCTCCAGTTTATTGTTCACCTTTAAAGTTGAGAGGTACCTTCGAACTCAACATGTCTTTTTTGTCTGAAAAATATACACAACTCAAACTTTATGATGTAAATATAGCACTCGAAGTGTACAAATTTTTGTTTATGCCCTTAATTTTATGCTTCTCATCCAGAGAAGTATCATATATATACTGGTGTTATGGATCTTATGCCATTCTCTTCTCTCAGAGTTAGAGAAAACATTAGATAATATTTCTGTGTGAAAAATTATTGGGGCCGGGCATGGTGGCTCATGCCTGTAATCCCAGCATTTTGGGAGGCCAAGGCGGGTGGCTCACCTGAGGTTGAGAGTTCGTGACCAGCCTGACCAACATGGAGAAACCCCGTCTCTACTAAAAATACAAAATTAGCCGAATGTAGTGGTGCATGCCTGTAATCCCAGCTACTCAGGAGGCTGAGGCAGGAGAATCGCTTGACGCCGGGATGCAGAGGTTGCCTCTGTCTCAAAAAAAAAAAAAATTATTGGATAATTTCAGTCATTCCTGCAAATCAGAACCAATTCTCTTTATTCTGTCATTTCACTTTAATTCAAATAATAAATTCTGCCCGTGGCCACTTGGTAAATATACGTGTGTCTTGTGTGCTTGTGTTTTTCAGGGGCCATTGACATTTAGGGATGTGGCCATAGAATTTTCTCTGGAGGAGTGGCAATGCCTGGACACTGCTCAGCAGGATTTGTATAGAAAAGTGATGTTAGAGAACTACAGAAACCTGGTCTTCTTGGGTGAGAATAACTTTAGTACACAATTACTAGTATACCCTAAAGGTTTCATTTCTCATTTTTTGAGAATAATTTTTGGTAATTTATGCTTTGCATAAATGAGTTTCTGATACTTGTTCTTAAGAAAACCTTGAGGATTTTTCCATATAGGAAAGAATTTTTTCAAGAAGTTTTATCTTGACTTAAACTTTCCACATTCCTGGGCTGATCTGTATCCTTCACTCTAGATTAGTGGCAATTCCAGAAATTTAGTGGCATAAAATATTGTTGCCCATATCTTAAAATCTATTTGCCGCCACCAATTTTTGATTAATGAATGCCAGGCAGTGAAATTAAGAACCTACAAATGTAAAATATTTTCTAAATACTTAGAAATTTCTGTTATAAATTAGTATTTTTAGGATTAATTTTCTAGAATATTCTACCACATCCTCTTTACTAAGCACAGTACTAGGTTGGTAACTGAAGAATATGAGAAAGATTCATGTTATTTATTTTCAATAAAGCAGGTATTGCTGTTTCTAAGCCAGACCTGATCACCTGTCTAGAGCAAGGAAAAGAGCCCTGGAATATGAAGAGACATGCGATGGTAGATCAACCCCCAGGTAGGTGAGAGTGAACACAACAGACGACATGAATGAGAGGTCCAAAAAAGAAGAAAGCCAATGCTTAAAATGTTATTTGAGAATCTGTGTTCCAAAGCAAATATTTTCTGGGAAGCCTGAGTTTTTTTTTTTAATTTTGCCCTCGCATAGGGTCATCTTCTGTCTTATGCTTTTAAATTCAAGGATTCTTTCCCCTTGGTGATCTCCCTTCAAGTTTGCTATCAGAACCAAAGTCCTCTTCATGGCATGCGAGACTCACAATCTGACTGCTTTTCCATTGTTTTGGGGGACACACAAATATCTACATGATTTTGAGAAACTCTATGTTAAACTATTTTCTTTTCTTTTTTCTTTCTTTTTTTTTTTTTTTGAGACTGAGTTTCATGCTCGTTGCCCAGGCTAAAGTGCAATGGCACGATCTAGGCTCACTGCAACCTCTGCCTCCTGGATTCAAGCAATTCTCCTGCCTCAGCCTCCTGAGTAGGTGGAATTACAGGCACCTGCCACCATGCCCAGTTAATTTTTTGTATTTTTAGTAGAGACAGGGTTTCACCATGTTGGGCAGGCTGGTCTCAAACTCCTGACCTCAAGTGATCCACCCGCCTTGGCCTCCCAAAGTACTAGGATTACAGGTGTGAGCCACTGCACCTGGCCAAACTATTTTCTTAGTTCTCTTTTTGCATCATGTCTGAAATGTGTAATAGTAGTGGTTTCTGTTCCACTGTTTTTTGTTGTTGTTGTTAACTTTTCTGCACACTCCATTCTGTTCTTATTACTATATTCTCGAAATATAGTTTGAAATTATAAAGCATCATGTCTTTCTACTTTGTTCTTTTTCCTCACGATTGCTTTGGCTATTTGAAGTTTATTGTTGTTTCTTGTAAATTTTAGAATTGTATTTTCCATTACTGTGAAGAAAAATGCCACTGAAATTTTGATAGGGAATTTATTGAATCTATAGATTACTTAGATAATAGGACACTTTAACAATATTTATTTTTTCAATCTGTAGACATGCAATATTTTTAAATTTGTGTCTTCTCTAATTTCTTTTATTAATAACATATCTTTCGTTGTAAAGATTTTTTACTTCCTTGTTCTCAGAAATTTATCATTTTAATGCTATTTTAAATTGTTTTCTTTCTCTGTTAAAGTGTATGGAACAATAACTTCATACTTGTGTGTTAATTTTATGTTTTGCTAATTTACTGAGTGTATTAATTCAGACAAATTTCAATGTAGTGTTCATGGTTTTTTATATATAAAATCATATGATCCACAAACAGCAACTTTTTACTTGTGTTCAATTTCAGTGGCTTTTTAAAAATGTTTTTGACTCATTATTCTGCCACATACTTCCAGTGCTATGTTAAAATAGAAGCATTGACAATGGGCACAATGTAGTTTTGCATTAGTGTCTGTGAATTTGAAGGAGCAAACAACTCCTCAAGCTTCTATAAACTGGTTTCAGTAGGTAAAGATCTTTTTCTGTCATGTCTCCAGGGTCATAGAATGCTCTCTGGGTTTGTAGTGGAGAGGGGGTGTAGCTTGGTCACAAGGCTGCTGGGTCTGCACTAGGGTCCACCTTTAGTTGGCTTGTTACAGGGGCTTGGGTAGTGGTAATTCCCATTTTATTTTTGGACAGACTGAATATCCTTCAACACTTTGATCTGTAGAGCAGACAATAGGGCAGGTTTCTGCAGTCAGGTTCATATATAATGGTCCTTATATCAGGATGTGAATGAGTATGGCGTTTATTGAGTACCGGAGAGGATTACTGTAGTTATGCAGACAAATTCTTTTTTAATGGTATATCAGTGTTGCACAGCAGATTTTATGAGTAAATATGTCACTTACTATTACTGCGCAGTTTCATATCAGTGTTTTGTTAGTGTAGGTTTCTTAACATTGAGTTATTGTGTTTTTTTGTTTCACTTTTGTATTATAATTTTAGACAGTTTGCAATTCGGTTTATCTCTTATAATTAAGAGATAAATCAGCCATATGTCTGTCACAATTAGATATATATGTGTGTGTGTGTTTATCTATAAATATGACCCCAATATTGGTTATGGCTTATCTTGTATATATTCTTTCTTAGCCAATTTTCAGTGGTTGTTTTATCTCACCTAAGTGAGTAGTCATGGAAATATTTTCACCATCTCTTATTTTCACCATGTGTTTAATGATGATGTTTCTCTCACCTTTGTGTGAGAGAAACACTTTTGTAATTTGAAGGTAATTTTTGAAAAGATTTATAAATCTGTATTTTTTTCAGTTTTTCCTTTAGAAAAATTAATTGTTGTAAAAACACATAATATTTACCATCTTAAATCTATTTAGGTGTACCTTTTAGGGCCAGACATGGTGGTGGCTCACATCTGTAATCCAGGATTATTTGAGCTCAAAAGTTTGAGACCAACCTGGGAAACATATGGAGAGTCCCTCTCTACAAAATGTTTTTTAAAAATAGCCAGGCATAGTGTTGTGCATCTGTGGTTCAGGCTACTTGCAAGACTGAGGTGGGAGGGTTACTTGAGCCTCAGAGTTTGAGGCCGAAGTGAGCCATAATTGTACCACTGCACTCCAGCTTTTTGACAGAGTGAGACTGTGTCTCCAAAAAAAAAAAAAAAAACCACAGCTCTACATTTCAGGCAGGCATGTTAATTATATTCACATTGTTATGCAAAAGACTTAGATATTTTACATTTTGTGAAACTAAAACTCAATACCCATTAAATAACAGCAACCCATTTTACCCTCTTTCCAGCCCTTGACAAACACCCTTCCACTTTCTGTTTTTATGAGTGTGACTAATTAAAATATCCCATATCAGTGGAATCATACTGTATCCATCATTTCGTTACTGGCTTATTTCAGGTGACATAATATTCTCAAAGTTTATCTTAAAATGTGACAAGATTTTCTTTTTTTTTTTTTTTTTTATTTTTGAGACGGAGTCTCCTGTCACCCAGGCTGGAGTGCAATGACGCAATCTCGGCTCACTGCAACCTCTGCCTCCCTGGTTCAAGCGATTCTCCTGCCTCAGCCTCCCGAGTAGCTGGGACTACAGGCATGTGCCACCATGCCCAGCTAATTTTTTTCTTATTTTTAGTAGAGAGAGGGTTTAACCATGTTGGTCAGGCTGGTCTCAAACTCCTGACCTCAGGTGATCTGCCATCCTCGGCCTCCCAAAGTGCTGGGATTACAGGTGTGAGTCACACGCTTGGCAAGATTTTGTTTTTTAAGACTGAATAATATTTCGCTCTACACATATGTTACATTTTTGATATGCTTATAAATCAAGAGACACCTGGGTTGCTGCAGCCTTTTAGCTTTTGTGAATACTAGTACAATAAACATGGATGTTCAAATATGTCTTCCAGGTCATGTGTTGCATATTTTAAATTGATAAAGAGGATTGCTGTATTTGATGATAATTCCATTTTTAATTACTTGAGAAACATTTATAACATTTAAAAATAATGACTGCATCTTTGTTTTCTACCAACAATTGACATAGGTTTTATTTTCATTGCATCATCAACAGATTTGGTGTTTTTAAATAATTTATAGTGGCCATTGTAATGGGTATGACATGATTTCATTTTTCATTGTTATTTTTATGTGTTTCTCTACAAATTATTAATTTTGCATGTCATTTCAAATGCTTTTTCCATTTGTGTATCTTTTATGATAAAAATTTAGTTCAATTGTTAATTTTCAAATCAAGTTATTTAACTTAGTTTTAAGGGTTTTTTATATATTCTGAATATTAACTGTGACATGTAATTTGGAAATATTCTTACCCATTTTCTCGGAGGCATTTTCACTGAGTTAAATGTTTTGTTTTAATGTGCAGAAATTTTGAAGTATAGCATAGTTAATTTTTTGTTGTTGTTCCTCAGGCATTTAGTGTCTTATCTAAGAAAATGGTGCCAAGACCAATGTCATGTCTTCTTTCTATTTTTTTCTAAGAGACTTATTAGTTTTTTTATGTCTAAGTATTTTACTTAAAATATTTTTGTATATGATTCAAAGAAATGATCCAACCTTATTTTATCAGTATTGATATTTAGTTTTTAACATTGTTTTTTAAAAGACTATTGTTTCCTCTTGGCAGCTTTGTAGATCATTTGATTATATATAAAAGGTTTCATTTCTGGGCTCCATATTTTGTTCTTTCATCTGTTCATCTGCCTTTGTGTCAATATTACACTGTTTTTGTTACTGTAGCTTCTAATTTTTTATTATTATTTTTGAGATGGAGTCTGGCTCTGTCGCCCAGGCTGGAGTGCAGTGGCTCGATCTCAGCTCACTGCAACCTCCTCCTCCTGGGTTTCAGCGATTATTCTGCCTCAGTCCCCCAAGTAGCTGAGGTTACAGGCGTGCACTACCACGCCTGGCTAATTTTTGTATTTTTAGTAGAGACGGGGGTTTCACAATGTTGACCAGGCTGGTCTCAAACTCCTGAGCTCAGGTGATCCCCCACCCTGGCCTCACAAAGTGCTGGCATTACAGGCGTGAGCCACTGCACCCTGCCTAATATGTTTAAAAATCAGGAAGTATAATGCCTGTTTATTCTTTTTCATGGGTGTTTGGCTATAGTTCATAATGAAATTTAAAAATTTTAAACAATATTTGTGTAATAAAACTGTGCTATTGTCATTTTTATAGAGGTTATATTGAATTTGTTCACCACTGTAGGTTGTATTGACAACTTAACTAAATTAAACTTTTTGAACCTTTAGCTGAAGAGTGTGTTTGATTGACTGATTGATTCGAGACAGAGTCTCTCTCTGTCATCCAGGCTGGAGTGCAATGGCATGGTCTCGGCTCACTTCAACCTCCGCCTCCCGGGTTCAAGGAATTCTCCTGCCTCAGCCTCCTGAGTAGCTGGGATTACAGGTGCCCACCACCATGCCTGGCTAACTTTTGTATTTTTAGTAGAGACGGGGCTTCACATGTTGGCCAGGCTGGTCTCAAACTCCTGACCTCAAGTGATTCGCCCACACCAGCCTCCTGAAGTGCTGGGATTACGGGCATGAGCCACCATGCTTGGCCTTATTTTTATTTTATTTATTTTTATTTTTAGAGACAGGGTCTTCCTATGTTGCCCATGCTAGTTTGGAACTCCTGGACTCAAGCAATTTTCTTGCCTTGGCCTCTGAAAGTGCTAGTATTATAGCCGTGAGCCACTACACTCGGCCCATGTGTTTTTTTTTTTCAAATATATTATTGGATTTAACAGTTTTACTTTTGCTATTTATTTATTTATTTATTTATTTATTTATTTTACTGAGACAGAGTCTCACTCTGTTGCCCAGGCTGGGGTGCAATGGTGTGATCTTGGCTCACTGCAAACTCCGCCTCACAGGTTCAAGCAATACTCCCGCCTCAGCCTCCCAAGTAGCTGGGATTACAGGCACCCACCATTATGCCCGGCTAATTTTTGTATTTTTGTAGAGACAGGTTTTCACTATGTTGGCCAGGTTGGTCTTGAACTCCTAACCCCAGGTGATCCACCCACCTTGGCCTCCCAAAGTGCTGGCATTACAGGTGTGAGCCACCGCACCCGGCCTACTTTTGCTTTTAATTTTTAGTTTCATTCAGTTTTGGTCAGAAAACACACAGTGTATGATTTTGGTTTTCTTATATTTATTTGTTGTTGTTTTGAAACAGGATCATACTCCGTCACCCAGGCTGGAGTATAGTGGCATAATTTTGGCTCACTGCAACCTCAGTCTCCTTGACTCAGGTGATCTTTTCTTCCTCCTAAGTAGCTGAGACTACAGACATGCACTACCGTGCCTCGCTAATTTTTTGATTTTTTTGTAGTGACAGAGTCTCACTATATTATTCAGTCTGGTATCAAACTTCTGGTCCCAAGTGATCCTCCCACCTTCATCTTCCAAATTGTTGGGATTAGATGTATCAGCCACTACTCCCAGGTGGTATTCTTTAATAAGACTTGTTATGTGTCCTAACAGAATATATCACATCCAAATAAAAATATTGTGTATTCTCTTGCTTTTAACTGGAAAGTTTTGTACATGCTGTTAAGCCTATTTGGTCTGTGGTACAGTTTGGATGTCCATGTTCTGCAAGGCTCATGCTGCAATGTAATACACAATGTTGGATGTGGAACCTGGTAGGAGGTGTTTGGGTCATGGGGACTAATTCTCATAAATGCCATGGCACCATTCTTTTAGTAATCAGAAAGTTTTCACTACATTAATTCAAATGAGAGCTGGTTCATTAAAATAACCTGTCTCCTTCACCTCACACTTGCTCTGTCTCTTACCATGTGATATGTCCAGCTACTCTGCCTTCCACTAAGATTATAAGTTTCCTGAGACCCTCACCAGAAGCAGATACTGGCACACACTTCTTATACAGTCTGCCAAACTGTAAACCAAATAAACCTTTTTACTTTATAATTTATCCACTCTCAGTTATTTGTCTATATGCAAAATAGTTAATACAGTCTATAATGTTGTCTGTTTTCTTACTGATCTTTTATCTAAATTTTCTATTTATTATTGCAAATGGGATCTTGATGTCTACAATTATTGTGTTGCTGTATATTTCTTGCTTTACCTTTGCCAAAATATGCTTTATATATATTGGAGTCCTGATGTTATATATACATATACATATAAACATAAATAGATAGATATGATAGTTATAGATTCTTGACCCATTTGGCCATTATATAATATCAGTGTTTGTCTCATGTTAGTACTTGACTTAAAGCATATTATATTCAATATAATTACTGCCACCTCACCCAATTATGGTTACTATTTGCATGTAATATAGATTCTTTTCATTCTATTACTTTCAGCCTATTTGACTCAATGCTAAAATGAGTCTGTTATAGACAGCGTATTGTATGCTTTTTTACTTAAACTACTCAGGCATCTTATTTCTTTTTCTTTTTATAAATTTATCTATTTTTGAGATAGAGTCTCATTCTGTCAACCAAGCTGGTTTGCAGTGGCATGATTACAGCTCGCTGCAGCCTCAACCTCCCAAACTCAGATGATCTCATCTCAGCTTCCAAGTAGCTGGGCTGCAAATGTGTGTCGTCACGCCCAGCTCATTTTATTGTTTTTGTTTTTGTTTTTGTAGGGACAGAATTTTGCCATGTTCTCCAGTCTGGTCTCAGACTCCTGAGTTAAAGTAATCAGCCCCTCTGGGCCTCCCAAAGTCCTGAGATTACTTTTTTTTATTAAGTAGTTTAATTAATTTATATTTAAAATGATTGCTTAAAGAAATAAAGTTACTATTACCAGTTTCATTGTTATTGTTTTGTTTAAATATTATTTTTTGTGTGTTCTGGGATACATGTACAGGATTTACAAGTTTGTTACATAGGTAAACATGTCCCATGGTGGTTTACTGCACCTATCAATTCATCACTTAGGTGTGAAGCCCTGCATGCATTAGCTGTTTATCTTGATGCTGTTTCCCCTACTCTGACAGGTTCCAGTGTGTGTTGTTCCCCTCTATGTGTCCATGTTTGTTTTTGTTTTTGTTGTTGTTGAGACAGAGTCTTGCTCTGTCGCCAGGCTGGAGTGCTGTGGCATGATCTCAGCTCACTGCAAACTCTGATACCCTGGTTCAAGCGATTCTCCTGCCTCAGCCTCCCAAGTAGCTGGGATTACAGGCATGCACCACCATTCTCAGCTAATTTTTGAATTTTTAGTAGAGATGGGGTTTCGCCACACTGGCCAGGATGGTCTTGATCTCCTGACCTCGTGATCTGCCCACCTCAGCCTCCCAAAGTGCTGAAATTGCAGGCATGAGCCACCGTGCCCAGCCCATGTGTTCTTATTGTTCGGCTCTCACTTACGAGTGAGAACATGTGGTGTTTGGTTTTGTGTTCCTGCATTAGTTTGCTGAGGATAATGGCTTTCAGCTTTATCCATGCCTTTGCAAACTACATGCTCTTATTCTTTTTTATGGTTGCATAGTATTCCATAGTGTATATGTACCACATTTTCTTTATCCAGTCTATTATTGATGGGCATGTGGGTTGATTCCATGTCTTTGCTATTGTAAATAGTGCTGCAATGAACATACACATCCACATATCTTTATAACAGAATTATTTATATTCCTTTGGGTATATACCCAGTAATGGGGTTGCTGGGTCAAATGGTATTTCTGTTTCTAGGTCCTTGAGGAATTC